>NC_000009.12:105190248-105341764 GCF_000001405.40 Homo sapiens | reverse complement strand
CAGAATTGAGGATAAAGTGTTCTGTGAGAATGAGAAATTATTAAGTGGCAATAGAATAGAACAGGGAAATCCAGCCCATCATTCTTTCAAAAAACATTTATGGATATCTACTTATCTACTGCGTGAGCCTCTATATTAGGGCCTGGATATTCCTAGATGAATAGAGCATGAGCTTGCCCCTAGGAAATTCATACACAACTGCAAGAAGTATGATACTGAGTCCTTATGGTATTTGGCAACTTCAATTTTTTAAAGGCAATTTTTAAACTGTTTTCTTCTCTAGCATTATGTATTTATAATATTTGTGTTATATGAATTATGAACCATAAAAATAAATGCACATTTGTACCCCACGACCCAACTCATGTACTAGCATTCACAGTTCTTTTATTATTATTATTATTTTCTTTTTCTTTTTTTTTTTTTTTTGAGACGAAGTTTCGTTCTTGTTGCCCAGGCTGGAGTGCAGTGGCACGATCTCAGCTCAGTGCAACCTCCACCTCCCAGGTTCAAGCAATTCTCCTATCTCAGCCTCCCAAGTAGCTGGGACTACAGGCACATGCCACCATGCCCAGCTAATTTTTGTAGTTTTAGTAGAGATGAGGTTTCACCATGTTGGCCAGGCTGGTCTTGAACTCCTGACCTCAGGTGATCCACCCACCTTGGCCACCCAAAGTGCTGGGATTATAGGTGTGAGCCATGCGCCTGGCCAGCCCTCACATTTTTATATTTGTCTGTCTGCCTTTAAAAGCCTTTGTAATATGACAGCATCTCCACAATACCAATCTAATTTCCAGCTATTTCTTCCAAACTGTCTATTGTAGTCATACTTGACAGGGGCATTCCACAAACTCTAAGTGCCCAAGAAAACAACTCCTTTTTCTTGTTTAAAAGAAACAAAGATTTGAGGAAATAATTTATTTGCCTAGTAAATAGATTTCTTACAACCACCACCATAGGAACTGAGAGCTTCTTCCCCTTTAATTTCTAGAGGTAATAAAATTTCATGTGAATGGATGGTTGTAAGTGCTAAAAAGTACTTTCAAATGTTGTCATGGAAACTTAAAATTCTTTGAAAAGCATTTATATTATCTTCTCATTCTAGTAAGAAACATGTTATATTGCCTTGCATCTTAAAATAAGGTATAAAATTAGCACTTAAACTGTTACTACCTCAAGTGGGACTCTTTCATGAACTTAATAAAAATTATGATAAAATAAAGGCAACATAAAATTACTATCTTAATCATTTGTAAGTGTACAGTGCAGTGACATTAAGTTCATTCAAACTGTTGTGCAAGAATCACCACCATCCATCTCCAGAACTCTCTTCATCTTACAAAACTAAAACTCTTCACCCATTAGACAATATTCCCCTTCCACTCTCCCTGCCACCCTGGCAACTATCATTCTACTTTCTGTCTATATAAATTTGACTACTCCAGGGTGGAATCATACAGTATTTGTCCTTTTGTGACTGGATTACTTCACTTCGCATAATGTCCTCAAGGTTCATCCATGTTATAGCATGTGTCAGAATTTATTTTCCTATTTCTTATTGTGGTAAAAAATGCATAACATATAATTGACTGTCTTAACCATTTTTAAGTGTACAGTACAGCACTATTAACTATATGCATATTGTGGTACAACAGATTTTTAGAACTTTTTCATCTTGTAAATCTGAAACTCTAGTCATTGAACCACAACTCCCTTTTTCCCTCTCCTTCAGTTCCTGGCAACCACACTTCTACTTTTTGTTTCATGTAAGTGGAATTATGCAGTCTCTTTATGACTGACTTATTTGACTTAGCATAGTGTCCTCAATTTTCATGCAAGTTGTAGCATATGACATTCTTTCCTCCTTTTTTAAGGCTAAAATAATATTCCATTGCATGTATTCACCACATTTTCTTTGTTTTTGTTTGTTTTTGAGGTTTTTTTGAGACAGGGTCTCACTCTGTCACCCAGGCTAGAGTGCAGTGGCATAATCTCAGCTCACTGCAACCTCCTGGGCTCAAGCGATCCTCCTGCCCCAGCCTCCTCAGTAGCTGGGACTACAAGTGCATGCCACCATGCCTGGGTAATTTTACTTTTTATAGAGACGAGATCTCACTACGTTGTGCAGGCTGGTCTTGAACTCCTGAACTCAAGTGATCTTCCTGCCTCAGTTTCCCAAAGTTCTGGGACTACAGGTGTGAGCCACCACGACTGGCAGTTCACCATATTTTCTTTATCCATTTATTGGTCTACCGACATTAGGTTGCTTCCACCTCTTGGCTATTGTGAATAATGCTACAATGAACATGATTGTGCAAATATCTCTTTAAGATCCTATTTTGAATTCTTTTGGATATATTCTCAGAAGTGGGACTGCTGTATCATATGCTAATTTTATCTTTAATTTTTTGAGGAACCTCCATACTATTTTCCATAGCAGCTGCACTGTTTTACATTCCCATCAACGGTACACAAAGGTTCCGATTCTCTACATCCTCACCAACACTTGTGTGATTTTCAGTGTTTTTTTTTTATAGTAGATCTTCAGATAGTCTAGATATTAACTGCTTACCAGATATCTGATTTATAAATATCTTCTATGGGTTGACTTTTCACTCTGTTGATTTTTGTCCTTTGATGTACAGTTTTTAATTGATGTAATCCAACTTATGTATTTTTTCTTTTGTTGCCTGTGCTTTTGGTGCAATTTGGTACCATCCAAGAAATTATTGCCAAATGCAATGCCACGCAGCTTTCTGCTACATTTTCTTCTAAGAGTTTTTGCAGTTTTAGCTCTTACATTTAGGCTCTTTCATGGACCTTTAACTAGCCCCTCTTACTGATTTGAAAATTTCCCACTTAAGTTTGAATTATATATTAAAGATATTCCTCTCTGAAATTAATGATTGAGGTCTATATATTTGAGGCTAAAGGGTCTGTGTATTTTCTAACAGAAATATGCTGTAACAACATGCAGACATAGATTCTAATAAAAATTATTTGCTACTCTTGAATCAACTTGCACCTCAAATGATTGAGAGGATAACTGAATGGCCAGGTATCTGGCTCATACCTGCAATCCCAGCACTTTGAGAGGCCGAGGAGGGAGGATCGCTTAAGGCTAGGAGTTTGACACCAGCCTAGACAACACAGCAATACCTCACTGCCATATAAGTAAAAAAATTATCTGGGCATGGTGACACATGCCTGTAGTCCCAGCTACTCAGGAGGCTGAAGCAGGAGAACCACTTGAGCCCAGAAGTACAAGGCTGCAATGAATCATGATTGTGCCACTGTACTACAGCCTAGACCACTGCACTTCAGCCTGTCTCTTAAGCAGGAAGAAAAAGAAAAAAACCAGATAACTTAAAAAGACAAAAGAAGGAAAAATAATGCAAAAAGCAGAGAAATAATTTTCTCAGTGATAAGGATAATATTGGAATTAAATCTTATTACCAGGTCTAGTTTTAAGTCACCAATTTAAACAGCAGGATAGGTTCTTTTGAGAAATTCAGAAATTTCAACTTAGGGTTGCTACTCAAATAAGGTATTTAGGCCTCTATACAAAAGGCTCTCTCTCTGATATAATTTTACAGCTTTTCTATTTGCCTGTTAAAATTTTGTCTTCTCTATCCTCCATTGTTGTGCTTCTGGATGCTGTCATTTTTTATGGCTACCTTATTGACTTACTATTCATACAGCTGGCACAAAACCCTAATGGTGCCTTTGTAGCTAGGCACCAATTTAAGAAGTCTGTTTGCTGAAATAATGTTTATTCATTAATACATCTTGAGCACCTACTTTGTGCAAGACACAGTGAGAAATACAAAGCTGTAAAACCCACCAGGAGGGTCTTCTTAACTAGACCTGAACAGGCCACAGTCAGTATCATATTCACTTAGAAGGATACCAGCCTGGAAACAAAGCATACCAGCAGGGGACCATAGGGCATCTCTCCTCCAGTGAACATCTCAGCAGGCCACACCGCCAATAAGGACCTAGTTCTCTTCTAGCCCTCCAGATGACAGCTCAGGTTCAAGGGACCAAGACTCACATCCAGTGGGTTTTTTGAGAAGATATATTGGAAGACAGTTCAAGACTAGATCATAGCTTTGAATGATAGCATAAGACATACAGACTTTTATTTTTTACTATGGATGATTTCCGAGCAAGGGGTTAGCATTGATTGAAGTTCTAGGAATGTTAATATGTCAGTAGTATGTAAGAGAGCTAAAATTAGAGAGAGACTAGAGGCAGAAAGACTATTACATTCCATTAGTGGAATAATAATAATTATGATAATAGCAGCAGCCAATAATTTTTCTTAGCAACTTAATATTTGCCAGATACTGTTCTAAGCATTGTTCATGTATCAAGTCCTCATAACCATCCTATGAAGTATATTAGGTACGAATATCGTCCCTATTTCATAGATGTGGAAACTGAGGCAAGGAGAAGTCAAGTAATTTGCCCAGGGTCTCACAGCCAGTAAGTGGTAGGAGCAACATCTGAACCCAAACAATAGGACTCCGGAGCATATACTTTTAACCACTCAACCACACCACTTGTCAGAGTATACTCACATTGTCTAAAATTCTGGAAAAACCCTTAAGGAAGGGCTCACCCCTCCCTAAGAAACCTTATAATGTTGAGGCTGGTATGAGGCTCAGCAACAACACATGTGGGGATACAATATGGGAATAAAAAATGAGATCGTGAAGAGTGGTTGGCACTTCTTTATTCAAGTACCTACCAAGTGTCCAGTATTCTTCATACATCATCTTATTTAATCTTCATAACAACTTATGAGGGAGTATTATTTTTAATCCACATTTTTTCAGATGAGGAAACCTAGGCTCAGAGAACTTTTACCCTTTACCCTCATTACAGAGCCAGTCAGTGACAGTCAGCACTGGAATCCAGACCCAAATCAACCCATGTTATCCTATGCTGAGGGCATGGAACAACGGAACAGGGATACTGCCAGCCTGGGAGGCTGCAGTCCTCCTGCCTTCAGAAGGCTAGCATCCCCAACTGGAAGACACTGGAGCCATGCTAGTGTGTGTAGAGCTATGGTTCCATGCTGTCTGTCCACCCAGCTAGAAGTTGTACCCACTGGATACCTGGGTCGTTCCTTGTTCCAAGCAACCAGCACTAGCCTGTGGATCTGGGCAGGATCAAGGCAGCTCTGAGGATTCCTACACACAAAATACAAGCATGAAACCTCAAGGAAATTCAAAAAGATAGGCCTCTACAAAGGGTGGTTAAAAAAACGATTCTCTGAAGAGAACTGAGGCAAGCCATGTGGACCTGAGGATGGTACTAGAGATAAAATGCCTCAGAGAACAGAGCTAGATTTCAGGAAACTATGTTAGTTTTCTCAGCTAATTCCTCTATCTTTAGCCTCAAAGTTGCTCACAATTATTATCAGAAAAAGAGCTATGACAGAACGTTAAATTTAAAAAGCAGAACACAAAACTATATACACACCGACTCATTGAAAAAGTACTGATGCTAGAATTTAAATTTCTACTTCTTATTTTTTCTGAACTTTCCAAATTTCCTATAATATGCATATGTTACATTGCTAACCAGGGAGATACACACACACACACACACACACACACACATGCACACACACACACATATGTATGTATATATATTGTTTCAACATATAAAACTTATTTCAATTTTTATATATGTGAATTGAAATACTTTTAACCAATACTTGGGAAGGGGGAACAAGAAATAAATTTTACATAGAGTGGTTTAGTAATTTCCAAATACTCGATAGACTACATCAAAGTCACCTGAGATATTTATTTTAAAAATACTAACTTCCAGAGCACAAAGACCCACTCAGTCAGAATTTTGCCCAGGGAGGGGCCCAGGAATCTGGAGTTTAACAAGCTCCCTGGGTGACTATAATATTTTTTAGCAAGGAAGTCCAAAATTACTTCAATTATCTAAGGTTCCTTGATAATTTATTTAACACTAGGGCAAATTTATATTTAACAAAGAGAACAAGGTGACAGGACATAGATTTGGATGGCCTAATGTCTCACCATTTATCTCTGCAAACTTCTGAACATCACTCAGAGTTTTCAGTTCTTGCCTTGGACACGCTGCTACACACAGTGCTACAGACTTAATCTTCCGGTTTATCAAGTCCAGGTTGCATGGATCCAAAAAGAATACATACCTAAAGCATGGAGAAAAAAACTGAGATATTACTTCACAAAACACATTGTGGGTCCCTGCATATTTGACTAAGCCTAGAGCAAAGAACATCTATTCCACATTCCTCCACGATAAAAATCTCATCATAAATACATTTTAAAAAAATTGCTTATTAACAGACTAACAGTGGGAATAGGGGAATTGTAGGACTTATAATTTTCATGATCTATTTTTCTAATATTTAAATGTTTGTATTGTGCACATGCATATTTCATAATCAGAAATCATCTATTTTAGTTTTCTTCAAATCATTAATTTTTTCTTATTTTGTCAAACTTGTACCAAAAAAAATTATTGGAATATCATAATACTGCTATATAATACAGCATGAATAACAGTTTATATATAAACTGTAAACTTTAGTTAATAAATGTAATTCATTCATTATATATAATTCATATGAACAGAATTATATAATTCCAAAAATGAATATATATTATAGATATCAATGAATATATACAACTGAATATACAAAGTTAAATGGGGACCAGAGGGAAATACACCAACATTTCAACTACAGTCATCGCTGGGTGTTAAAATAAAGTGATTTTTAATTTATTTTACCTTTCAGAATCCGCATCTTTAGAAAGAATGCCAATTACTTTTGAACTGATATAACGGCAGTAAATATTGTTTATTAATAGTTTAAATACTGTCCATTACAGATAGATAAAATAATCCCCAAATCTGAAATTATACCCTTTACATCCTGTATACTTGTATTTTAGAAAAGGGAAGATTAATTAGAAAGCACGCCAAAGCATGTATTTTTAATGTTATAAAGTAGATGAGATGATAAAGATTGTAGATGCTAACATTTGCTCAAAGAGAAAGTAAGGGCTAAACATTCTCAATTGAGATAAGCTAAGTGCAATAACACGGATCAAGGAAGGGAGTACAAGAAGGAATGCTTCCACCTAAAATGAATCTCCAGCCAGGGTTCAATTCCACTGAGTCCATAGGAAGTTTTATAAAATCATGCATCTGTCAATAGCCTTTCACACAGTTAAACTCTGTTGCTATGCAAAATGTGGTTTCAAATCTGGAACAGGAAATATAACCTAATATAAAAATTAGGAGAACAAACTGAAAAGCAGAAAAGGTAAAGTCAATACATATGCTAAAATGGAAACTATAAAGGAAAAAAAAATAAGTAGGAAAAAAAAGGGGGCTACTACAGAGGCCTTTGCAGATCAAGTAACACTGCACACTTCAGCGCAGCAAGGGGACTGGGAACCCGGCATGAAGGTCAGGTATAACTTACCAAACGAAAAAAAAAAAAAAATGTGTGTGTGACCCTATCAGTGACTCCAAACCCATTAATGTTCTATCTATGCAGATAGAAGGAAAGAAAAAAAGCCAGGCAGAAAGATGAGGTTTAGAAGTAGGTTTTGTGGACTGTTTCCATGGCTGATAACAAGGAAGCAGGGCATACAGAGAATTGTTTCTGGCAACTTCTGAGTAGAAACAAGCATTCTCTTACTAATTCTCCCTTCTTCTATCCTGGGCGTCTGACTAAGCATGTCTATGCCTTTGACCCTGTATAATGAATTGCACAAAGACAGATTCTGGACAGGGAACAATCAGGTCCTTGAGAAATGTGTCACAAAACCTTTGAATCAACCACTACTGCTACCACCACCACCACCACTATCACTGCTACCATTGCCATCACCACCACCATCACTACTAAGAATACTTCTTTTTTTTTTTTTGAGATGGAGTTCTGCCCTGTTGCACAGGCTGGAGTGCAATGGCATGGTCTCAGCTGACTGCAACCTCAGCCTTTGAGGTTCAAACGATTCTCCTGCCTCAGCCTCCTGAGTAGCTGGAATTACAGGCACCTACTACCACACCCGGCTAATTTTTGTATTTTTAGTAGAAACGGGGTTTCACCATGTTGGCCAGGCTGGTCTTGAACTCCTGACCTCAGGTGATCCACCCGCCTTGGCCTCCCAAAGTGCTGGGATTACAGGTATGATAAGCCACTGTGCCTGGCCTAATAATACTTAATGATAAAGACTTTTAAAAATGATAGCCAATTTTATTGAGTACTTACTATTTATCAGACACCGTATTAAACACTTTACATGTATTAACTCATTTAACTCTCACAGTAATTCTGTTGTGTGTTTCTCTATGGGGTGGGAGGTGGGCAGTGGAACTGGGATGGGAGAGAGGCATTGAGTACACAGTTCTAAGTGATGAGCAATGCCTTGAGAACCATCTGGGGAAATCACATCACAGTAGAAAAAGAAGCTTAGGGAAAAGGAAAAAAAAGCCAGAAGCTGCCAGGGCCTTGCTGCTGGGCCTAGGCTGGATCAATGACAACCTCTTGAGAATAGATACACTGTCTGTCCTGTAGGCTTCAGCCTCCTCCAAGGGCAAAAGTATCCCTATTATATTTCTAACTTCTTTTATACCTTAAAACATATTCCTTTGATTTATGCTAGTGACTGGGCAGCAACCTTATCCCTTGCTTTAGTCAGACCAATGTGAACTTGCTTTCTGGTTCTCTCTTAATAGTTCTCTGACCTTGGAAAATATATTTATCCTTCTGAGCCTCAGTTTCCTTATCTGAAAAATTACATATCACCGATTTTATAGTTTGTTGTAATGTGATCAATAATATATATAAAGCACCTAACATAGTATGCACTCAGTGATTCGTGTCATTACCATTAAGAATACTATTTGCTTTCCATACATCTTACATTTCATAGTAAGGAACTAAACTCAACCCTTTCTTATATGGGCATAAAACAGGGATACAATACTAACATTCGGTTTTCATTTAGGAAAAAAAAATCTGTGTAGGAGTATTCATGACTAAGGGTAAGGTCATTACCCTTGAGAACCAAGTAGGCCCCCAAAACAGATCCAGCACAAAGAAAACAAGAACAGGAGGGTGAGAAGAATGCTACCATGACTACAACACTGTGAAATTAACACTGCACATTTTTCAGCCTGTGTATATGGTTTGAAAAGATCTAAAAACTTATTTGAATAAGAAATACACATCTTCAAGAAATACACACTCACATACATCACATGTTTACACTCTGTATCTTACCTGCCTTCCATAGTCTAAGAATATATTAAGCTGGCCAGGTGCAGTGGCTCAAGCCTGTAAACCCAGCACTTTGGGAGGCCAAGGTGGGCAGATCGCTTAAGGTCAGGAGTTGGAGACAAGCCTGGACAACATGGTGAAACCCCATCTCTACCAAAAACACAAAAATTAGCTGAGTGTGGTGGCAGGCACCTGTAATTCCAGCTACTTGGGAGGCTGAGGCAGGAGAATCGCTTGAACCCAGGAGGCGGAGATTGCAGTGAGCCGAGGTCGCACCACCGCACTCCAGCCTGGGCAACAGAGCGAGACTGTGTCTCAAAAAAAAAAAAAAAAAAAGAAACAAAGAAGGAAAAGAAAAGATATTAAGCTTAATTCTCTATGCCTTTCACATATTCAAATGCACACACATGAAGTTAAAAATAACATACAGACCTTGACCTTAGGTTCAGATTCTATTAACATTTGTTGGGTGTGTAGGTGTTAGTCACTGTCACATTCAAGAACTTATTTGATCTTTGCAACAACTCTGTGAGGTAGGGGCCATAACTATTCCAAAGATGTTAAAACTGAGGCCTTGAGGCCTAACCACCAGGCCCAAGAGAGCTAGTAGGTGCCAAAGCATGAATTCAAACATAGTACCTCTGATTCTGAGTTTCACTGTTTCCATTCTGCACTATTCCAAAATATTTCCTACAAATATCATTAGTAAATTTAACTGTTCTCTATTAACTTTGAATATTCTGTTTCCAGCATTCTGAAGTTCATCCAATCCATGGCAACATGCTTAAAAGTAATTATACTTTAACTAATTCATATTTAACTGAATATTTATAGGAGGCCAAGTGCTTGTATCAAACCAATTTATGATTTATTAAAACTGCACTTTCTTGCCTTTTGATTGGAAAATGTCCTTAACCAGGTAAATAAATGCTTACATTAGTTTTTCAGTTTTCACTTTAAACAAAATGAACTGATAGTTTTATTTTTAGACAATGAAACAAATAATCGTAATAAGCATGGTATTGACAAACCAGATTATTGTAACTGAAAACTACAGATGAGTATTTCAGCTGAGAGGGTAACACGCAGTATCCACCTACTTTCACTCCCAACAGGGCAAGGATCAGGAAAGAGATGCAGCACATACATTTTGAAAAAGCTTCTCAGGCCAACTCTGATTATGTGCCTTGGCCTCCATACCTCCCCCTTCCCTATGCCATCTCCAAGGTGGAGAGCCCATGTCACAGATAATCCATAAACCTAAGTTAAGAGCAAGTTTGTCGTTGTTATCCTCAGTGAATCTTTTACTAAGCTTATTAATAACTTAAATACAGCTTTAAGTTTCATATCCTTTAGAGGAACAGGAATAAATAAAATACCAAAAGTGAGAATGAAAGACAAGAAGCAGTAACAGAAAAATACTCTATAAACAAAACAGCCTAGACACCTGCAGGCATTGGCATATACAATATGCACATAGCATGATCAGATGATACAGAAATGCATTTGCAAAGGGAATTGCAAAACAGCCTAAGTAAGCTTTGAACTTAAAAGGTAGATGGGAATGGAGAAAAATGCTCAGACCAAACTGCAAAGCAAACATTACAGAGGACAGCTGGTAAGGCATGTAAATGTGTATTTATTACAGTTGGGGTGGTTTCCAGAAATTATCTGAGGAAGAGGAAAAGGTTTATTTTTAAATGGATATTTTTGAGATACAATAACAAATTATCCCAACAGGCAGGAAAAGGAGAGATGTCTGAATAAAATGCTCTGTCTACAAGGTGAACGAGGAGGACAGATGCACCAAAGATGAAAACAGGGAAACGAGACAAAGGTGGGACATTATATCACTGAAACTCAGGAAAAAGGATAAGAGTCAGAAAAGAAGTGACTTTTAAAGCTGCACTCAGAGCAAGATTAAAATGAATGATATGATGCCATAGAAGGTTTAAAACTGGTTTAAACTTCTGTTTTGCTTTTACTTTCTTTACTGAAGATAGGAGAAGGTAAAGAAAATAAGATTCACCAATAATTTACTTTGAGTCACAAAGCATTACAGGCTTTAGCCTCACAACATCCTAATTCAACAAATGATGGAACTGACTGGCAAGCTGGGTGACTAACCTAACTTTCCAGTTCAAACTGTAAAGTGAGAATAAATGCAAAGGAAAGTGAGTTACAGACCAGCAAGTCAGTTGATTAAATCAGTGCAATCTTCTGGGATCCCTGGAGATCCCTAATCTTCTGGGATCCCTGACAGACAAAGCCCTACCTGTACATGATATAGGGCTGTACTCTATGTGGTATGCAACACTCACGTGACAGGAATTAAATAGGATAAGAAAAACTTCATTTATAACAAACATTACTAGGTGTATACTCCTGGGCCAGACCCTTTGGATACCAAATTCATAAAATATAGTTCTTGAATGCAAGTAAGTTACAGTCTAGAGAAGAACACACAAAAATATATACAGTCATTTAAAAACCATGTGATAGGAGGCAAGGCTGAGATGTCAGTGGAAATTGTGTAATTCTGCATGGAGGATAAGGGGTTAGAGAAACCATTAAGGAGGAGGAGGCAGTATCTAAGCCATATTTTGAAATTGAGTAGGAATTTTCCAGACAGATGGGGAAGGGAGCACTCTAGGCAGAGAAAACTGCATGTCTAAAAGCACAGAATCATGAAAGAGCATATTTAAGGAACTGCAAATAATCTGATAAAGTCGACTATAGGATGGGGTATCAAAGAGCTATGCACCAAGGAGAAGCAGGGGATAGAAAATGTAGCCGTCCTTAGAATCTGGAAGATCTTACAGCTCTTCCATTAGGCAACACGTACTCAAATGGCCACGGAACAGTGATACCCTGGTATGGCCAGCCCCTCGAATTGAAGGCTAGAGAGGGAATGGCTGGGGAACAGCAGCGCTGATCCAGAGATGAGCCTTTGCCATTAAATTGCCTCCTGCTGCCATGGCAACTCTGTGACAAGACTTTTTGGAGCAAAAGGTGGCAAGCAGATACTAGATCTGCTGGCCGCCTCCTGCCGAATTTGGCTGCCTCCTGCCGAATTTGGCTGCTCTCCTCTCCAATCAGGATGGAAGCACTGCAGCACTAAAGCTGGAAAGCAGGCTGAAAAATCCCTCTGTCACCTTCTGCTTTAGTGATTCCTGATATGTGTCTTCCCCAGAGGGGAATAAAAATGGAGTCTGATCATTTTCCCAATTATTACCTCATATCAATTTACAATTTATAGCCCCTTTCCACAGAGAGTGTTGCCGTGAGTGAATCATACCAAACTGAAAACCATGACAGCCTAGCGGAGGCTTGCTATTGCTAAACATAGGCTACAGAGAGCCCCGCAGATCTGTACTCCACCCACAGCGGAATTCTGCCCAGAGGAGGCCTCTTATTTCCAGAGGGGCTGGTGTTGGGGTACCAGCAAGGCAAGTCCAGTCATCTAATCTGGGGTGGGACCCAAATGCCCCCAGGAGAGCCCTGTTATACTAGGAAAGAACTATGGGGCCAGCACACCAGAGTTGGTGAAACCCAAGAAACCCAACCCATGAGGTTGCTGACAGGGGTGTGCCTTTCCCCACTGCTTCCTCAATCCTAACTAGGAAGAGGCAAAAATCTCCTAAGGAAGAGGTGCCATTTGTTAAAACTAAAACCTAAGGATCCATCTCACCAACCCCCAAAGAGACAATTGAATTCTAAACAGCATGGCAGCCTCCTCCGCCAGCACTTCTGTAGACCTTCATTTACAGGCAACTGCTAAGAAGAGAAACTTTCATGGCCCTTTCTGGTAATTCACAGCACTGAGAGCTGAAAATAACTTTAAACTGCAGAGGAAGCCCAAGGATCAGACTAAGACAGCAATACTCAGAGAATGTGCACCTCTCTAACCTCACCTTCGCCTGGTCTCCCACTGGTCTCCTTTCTGTTCCTCAAGCAACCTGGCACACTCTCACCGTGGGGCTGCTGCACTGCCTATCTGCCTGGAATGTTCTTTTTCTAGAGAGCAACAGAGCTAGCTCCTTCCCTCCTTTGAAGTCTTCACTCAAAAGACATCTTCTCAGTGAAGCCTTTGCTGGCCAGCCTGTCTAAAACGCCAACTTTCCACTCTGATGTGCCTTCATCTTTCCTGCTTTGTTTCTCCTCAGACTTACACTCGTTCACACACTGTGTATTTTACTTATTTATCTGTTTATTTTCCACCACCACCACTAGTAGAATATCAGCTCCAACAGGGCAGAGATATTTGACTGCTTAATTCATCCCTACATCCTTAGTGCCTAAAATGATGCCTGGAATAAAGAAGAAGCTGCATATTTCCCAAATTAATAAACAGATGGTAATTATATAAGATTTTGCTAAGTGGGGCCAGAGGGGAGTGAAGGTAAGGAAGAAGATATTTCAGGAACAGAGAAATACTCTCGTTTATTCAAAAGAATTTTATCAAACACCTATTCTGCCAGGTGTAGGCCTAAATAAGTACTAAAGATACGATGATAAATAAGACCACACAACTAAGTGTCTCCCTTCTTAGTGTTCACAATCCAGAGAGTAAGAAGACAATTACAAACAGTGTGCTAGTGCTAGAGCAGGGAAAACAGGATTATAGAGGAGGCATCAAACGTACCCCATTAATGGAAAATCAGGATAGGTGTCCTGAGGAAGGGATATCTAAAGCTGGGACCTAAAGAATGAGTAAGAGTTAACCAGTGTGGATGAAAGGGGGTAGGAACAGCGCAGGAACAGAGCAGGCAAAGGCAAAAAGGTTAAAGGGAGCATGGCACAGCTGAAAACAAGAAAATGGTCAGGATGGTTCATAGACGGCTGGACAGGCAAGCTGATGCTAGATCATGCAGGGCCTTATAAATGGTACGCCTGTAAATCCCAGCACTTTGGGAGGCCGAGGTGGGCAGATCACTTGAGGTCAGGAGTTCAAGACCAGCCTGGCCAACATGGTGAAACCCTGTCTCTACTAAAAATACAGAAATTAGCCAGGTGTGGTGGTGTGCGCCTGTAATCCCAGCTACTTGGGAGGCTGAGGCAGGAGAATTGCTTGAACCTGGGAAGTGGAGGTTGCAGTGAGTTGAGATTGCACCACTGTACTCCAGCCTGGGTGACAGAGTGAGACTCAGTCTCAAAAAAAAAGATGTTAGAAAGTCTGGAGTTCATCTTAAAGACACTGGGAAGCCACTGGGAGCTCACCAGCTGCAAGGTGCAGAATGAGTCAGAGGCAAGCAAGAGAAAAGAGACTGGCCAGGAGGCTACTAAATTTCTACCAAGAAATGATGACTTGAACTAGGGTGGGAATGTGAATAAAAAGGAGATTTCAAAAGTTTAGACACAATGAAGAAAACTTTATGACTGATTATACATAGGTGGAAAGGAAAAAAATTAAACATAATGCTTAGCATCTCAGACTAAACGGTTAGGACATTCTGGTTTGGAATCCTGCTCAATTCTGTAAGATAGGGGACTCAGGAGGAGGAGCAGAGTACCGAAGGACAAGGATGACGTTCCAACTGCAGAGAATTTAAGTTGGAGACACCTATGAAGTGTCCAAATGGACCTATACAGTTGGCTGTAGGATTCTAGCAGAGAAATCTGGACAGGCGACAGTGATTTTGGAATAATCGGCATATATAAATGGTAGCTTTCCCCTGGGAGTGCATGAGATCACCAAAGTCAGTGTGTAGGGTTAAGATTCTTAACCTGGGTG
The DNA here is from genome assembly GCF_000001405.40 of Homo sapiens. Taxonomy (NCBI): domain Eukaryota; kingdom Metazoa; phylum Chordata; class Mammalia; order Primates; family Hominidae; genus Homo; species Homo sapiens. The sequence goes on along the minus strand of NC_000009.12, from coordinate 105,326,720 downwards.
AAATCTGTGAGCCTCCAGAAATCATAAGCAAAATCTGATGTGCAAATCCATATGTATTTTTCTGAAGACAGATTTTATACTTCATAGTTTCGAATAGATTGTCAAAGGCCTCGTAAGAGTAAAAAGCAAGATGACGAAAGAGCCAAAGAAGATACTAACATTGCAAAGCAAAGGCATGGAACTGGAAAAGCACGGGGGAAGACTCCCCTCTTTAGCTACAATGCCTGTCTCCTGCTTATCCATGTACCATGGAGGGAGACATAATTGTCAGAATGGCAACCAAGAGTCACTTATAGCAAATGATATTACTTATAATAAACTGAGGCAAGAAAGTAAATTAAAACAACTTTAGCTGGGTGCATTAGCTCTTGTCTGTAATCCCAGTACTTTGGGAGACAAGGGCAGGAGGATCACTTGAGGCCAGGAATTTGAGACTAGCCTGGGCAACACAGCCAGACCCCATCCCTACAAAAAATACAAAAATTAGCCAGATGTGGTGACACACGCCTGTAGTCCCAGCTGCTTGGGAGGCTGAGCTGGGAGGATTACTCAAGCCCAAGAGGTTGAGGCTGCAGTGAACCAAGGTGGTACCACTGCACTCCAACCTAGGTGACAAAGCAAGACCTGCCTGGTCTCTTAAAAAAGAACATTTCACATAAAAAAACAATTTTCTACTTAGTCCAATAAATTGAAAGAACACTCCTAAATCAACTTGTTTCAGCACTCATACTGAGAAATAATATGTGTCATGGGCCAATGGCCAGAAATTTCATTTTCTTTTTAGTTTATCAGCTTTTCTGAAATATAATTAACATACCATAAAATTCACCTGTGTAAACTGTGCAATTCAATGTTTTAAGTATATTTGACGGAGTTGTTCATCTCATTACTACAATCTAATTTTAGAACCTTTTGTCACCCCCAAAAGAAACCTCCTATCCATTAGAATTACTCCTCATCTGTTATGGTATAAATATTTGTCCCCTCCAAAACTCATGTTGAAATTTAATCCCCAGTGTGGCAGTATTGAGAGGTGGTGCCTTTAAGAGGTGATTGGATTATGAGAGTTCCTCCCTTGTTAATGGATTAATGAATTATCATGGGAGGGGAATTGGTGGCTTTGTAAGAAGAGAGATGTGAGCTAGCATATCAGCACACTCGACCCCTCATCATGTGATACCCTGAGCTATCTCAGGACTCTGCACAGAGTCCCCACCAGCAAAAGGCTCTCATGAGATGTAGAACCTCCATCTTGGACTTCTCAACCTCCATAATTATAAGAAATACATTCCTTTTTCTTTATAAATTACCCAGTTGCAGGTATTCTGCTGTAGGCAACAGAAAACGAGTGAATACATCATCCTTCCATGTCCAACTACTCCCCAGCCCTAGGCAACTACTAATCTACCTTATGTCTCTATACATTTGTCTATTCTATACATTTCATATAAAGAGAATTGTACCATATGTGGCTGGCTTCTTTTATGTAGTGTAACACTTTCAAGGTTCATCCATGCCATGGCATATATAAGCACTTCATTCCTTTTAATGGCTGAATAACTTTTCATTGTGTGGATATACCACATTTTGTTTATCCTGTCATCAGTTGATGTACATTTGTGCTGTTTTCTGTTTTTGGCTATTAGATGCTGCAGCTGCTATGAATGTTCATGTACAAGTCTTTGTGGGGACATCTGTTTTTAGTTCTCTTGGGTAGATACGAAGGAGTGGAATTGCTGGATCATATGGTAACTCTATGTTTGATATTTTGATGGACTGTCAGATTGTTTACAAGAGCAGCTATCATATTTTACATTCCCAGCAGCAACGTATGAGGGCTCCAATTTCTCCACATTCTCACCAACATCTGTAACTGCCTTTTTATTATAATTATTCTAGTGGATGTGAAATAGTAACTTATTGTTGTTTTGATTTGCATTTCTTGATAGCTAATGATGTTGGCTATCTTTTCATGTGCCTGTTAGACATTCACATAGCTGTTTTGGAGAAATGTCCCTCGGAATCCTTTGCCTATCACAGATTTCTTTCAGATCTCTGAGTAAGACAGAGTAAGGCACAGATATTCACTAGATATTGTCACAACATTATGAAAAAATTATATTACAACAAAAAGCAAGGATGACAGTAGAGTAAAAACAGCACTTGGAGGCCAGGCGTGGTGGCTCATGCCTGCAATCCCAGCACTTTGGGAGGCCGAGGCAGGTGGATTGCTTGAGGCCAGGAGTTTGAGACCAGCCTGGCCAACACAGTGAAACCCCATCTCTACAAAAAAAATACAAAAATTGGCCAGGTGTGGTGGCACACAACTGTAATCCCAGATACTCAGGAGGCTAAGGCAGGAGAATCACTTGAACCCAGGAGGTGGAGGTTGCAGTGAGCCGAGATCACCCCACTGCACTCCCACCTAGACCACAGAGTGAAACTCTGTCTTTAAAAAAAAAAAAAAAAATTCCGGGCACGGTGAATCACGCCTGTAATCCTGATCACGAGGTCAGGAGATCGAGACCATCCTGGCTAACACATACAAAAAATTAGCCGGGCGTGGTGGCGGGCGCCTGTAGTCCCAGCTACTCGGGAGGCTGAGGCAGGAGAATGGCGTGAATCCGGGAGGTGGAGCTTGCAGTGAGCCTAGATCGCACCACTGCACTCCAGCCTGGGCGACAGAGCAAGACTCCGTCAAAAACAAAAACAAAAACAAAAACAAAAAGCACTTGGGAGAAAGTACAGGAGTCAAAGGACTAGAGGTCGAAGAATGGCTGCAGTGGGCAAAAAAGGACATGCAATGCAAGATGGAAGGACAGAAGACCATGGTGAGAGTGGGGAAAGTTTAGAATTACTCTGAATTGATTTTATAGGTAGAACAATTAAGGGTGATGACAAAGACCAAGCTGTGTCTATGAAAAACGGAACCCTGAAAGCCTCCCCTGAGAAAAAATTTAAGCAGTTCCCAGGGATAGTGAGAATCAATGAGACAGAATATGTGAGAGTGCTTTGTAAACTACATAAATTTAACAGTTGGTTAAAATAGCTGTGTTTTCCCCATCTAGGTTAAAAAGGGACGAAGCCTTGATTAAGTAACTTTGAAGCTTGTTTTAGATGATGATAATGAAGATGATTATAATAAACAACAGTTAACGTTCACGATACCAGGCACTGTGCTAAGGAGTATACATGATTTATGATCTTTACTCCTCTAAAACACCCAAGGAAGTACTGCTATTATTTTCATTTTACAAATGAAGATCTTTAGGCCAAACATTACTGTTGTTATTTTCAACAGTGTAACCTGTCCTTTGATTATCTGCCTACTGGATCTACTCGTACAGATACATCCCCAGTTGCATGAAAAATCTTACCTATCATAGAAAAACTCTAAATGTTGTTCCCATTGTATTGCTTTTATATCAGAGAATCAAATTTTTGATAATCAAACATGCCTACCTTGGTATTATTTAATTTCTTTCTTTTTTTTTTTTTTTTTTTTGAGATGGAGTTTCACTCTGTTGCCCAGGCTGTAGTGCAATGGCATGATCTCGGCTCACTGCAACCTCTGCCTCCTGGGTTCAAGCAATTCTCCTGTCTCAGCCTTCCAAGTGGCTGGGATTACAGGTGCCCGCCACCACGCCTGGTGGTGTATTTTTTTTTTTTTAATAGACGGGGTGTTGGCCAGGCTGGTCTCAAACTCCTGACCTCAAGTAACCCGCCCGCCTTGACCTCCCAAAGTGCTGGGATTACAGACATGAGCCACTGCGCCCAGCCTTATTTAATTTCTTTATTGCCTCAACAATGTATCAATTATTGAAATTATACAAAGTATAATATTCATTTATAATATTGAAATTATACAAAATATAACAACCATTAAAGTATAATATTCATTCAATTATACAAAGTAGAACATTGATTTTAAAATATTTAACCCATGTGGAACTTATTTTGCATGGTATGAGATTAAAGTAGATCTAAATGTAGCTTTCTTCACAGTATCACTCAACCCAATATTTTTTGTTAAACACTGACTACTTTCACAGTATTTATTTCTGCTGTTTCTATTTTGTTCCAATCACTGTTCTTAACCTATGTCCAGGTAGTCTTGTTGTTGTCCTTTGGAACAGGTTTCGGCCTAGAATGGCAATACCCCTTTCATTCTCCTCTAAGTGACACAATTATTAATTAGATAATGACAACCATAGATACACGACCTGTACTCACACAATGAGTAACCCTTCACTCCCACCTTTTATTTGGCTAGTATGCTAACTGCCAACATTTAAAAATCATAAGACTGATACACTCTTCTACTCATTAACAGACTTCCGGCTTCTTTTGAAAACTTAGCATCACTGGCCCCATCTACCCATATGCCAAAACTCACCCCAATTAGCAGCTATCTCCTTTACATGGGGCACACACACGTAAAGTCCAAAGTGTCCAATATTCCCTGTTGTCTTATATCCAACCCATGGTGAAACCCATATGTTTCCCTTCCTGCCTTCAAAACCAGAAAGTTCACAGCTAATTTAGTGCTTTATGTCAGTAACTACACTTAGCCTAGATTTCTGGTCTCATCTCTTCTCCACTTCCACGGTGTGCCTCCTGATCTTTTTTATTCCCATTTCATTGTCTTACAATATATGCACCTACTTCTAATCCTTTCAAATTATTTTGTGAATGAGAAACAATTTAAAAACATTTCTCCTCTGAAATTCTTCCCTGATCCTTTACTCTGTGATTTATACTATCAATCAAGTTCAATGCACATCCTACTGGGATCTTAACTGGCACTTTATTAAATCTATATAATAACTTTGTTAGTATTGTCATCTTTACTATATTAAGACTACTCAACCAGAAGTAGATTATATCTCTCTTGTTTTTTTTTTTTAATTAAAATACTATAACTCTCTGTATTTGGTCCCACATATATCCTGTTAGATTTTATTTTAATAAAACAAGTATTATATTTTTCATTGTATTTTCTGTGCACTGATAAGACAAACGACTGACTTTAGTTAGGCATCTGCTTTATAACCTATAATTTAAGCGCCTCATTTCAAGATACGTTTTTGTTGAATCTCCTAAACATTCCAGGTTATAGTCCCTTGTCACTGGCAAATAGTATTATTTTTCTTTCTAACTACCTATACATATTCTAGTTATCTCTTTTATTATGATTTGCTGCAACTAGTTATTTAAAATAGTGCTATTAAAAAGATGATGTCCTTGCTTATTTAATTTGAGGTAAACTATTTCTATTTCTCCATAATACTGGTAGCTGCTATTACTAGAAACTCCATCAGCCTCCTTTCATGCCATCAAACCTATAACAAAATCTATTTTTGACAAAGGTGGCAAAGTAATTCAATGGGGAAGATAGTCTTTTCAATAAATGCTTCTGGAATAACTGTATTTTTGTATGGGAGAAAAAAGATAAACCTTGACCTTTTCTTCACACCATAATCAAAAATTAAATCAAAATGAATCATATATATCAACATAAGCGCTAACTAAAAAACTTTCAGTAGAAAGCACAAAAAAAAATCATTGTGAATTTGGGGTAAGGCAGTAATTTCCCAGATAGTACACAAAAAACATGAGCCATTAATAAAAACAAACAAATTCAACTTTATCAAAATGTAAAACTTTTGCTCATCAAAAGATGTCACTAAGAAAACAAAAAGCAAACCAAAGATTAGAAAAAATAATTGCAAAACACTTACCTAACAAAGGTCTTGTATACAGATTTAGTGCTCATAACTCATTAAGACTAACCAGTTTGTTTTAAAATATGCAAGATATGAATACTTCACAAAAGAAAACAGATGGATGGTCAACCAGCACTTAAAAAGATGGTCAACATCATCGGTCATTAGAAACATGCAAATTAAAACCACAGTGAGATACCACTACAGATTCACTAGAATGGCTAAGAATAAAAAGAACAGAGACATGCATGGTGACATGCATGGGACTGTACCTATAGTCCCAGCTATATGGGAGCCTCAGGGTCACTTAAGGCCAGGAATTCGAGGCTGTAGCGTGCTATAATCATGCCAATAAATAGCCATGGCACTCCAAACTGTGCAACATAGTGAGATCCTATCTCTAAAAAAAATAAAATAAAATAAAATGTAACAAATAACAAAAAGTCTCATAATACAAAATGTTAGGAGGAAGTGAAGCAAATATAACCCTCCTACTATTGTAGTGGGAATGCAAAATAGTGCAGCAACCACTTTGGGAAACAGCTTGATAATTTCTTATAAAGTTAAACATCCTCACCACATGACTCTGCAATCTCAATGCTATATATCTAACTCTTCAAGAGTAATGAAATATATTAAATTACATACACAAATTGTTAAAGCAGTATTACTCACAATAGTAAAAAAAAAAAAAAAAAAAAAGTTAAATATTGAAATAACCCAAATGGCAAAAAACCTAGTGAACAGATAAACTGTGTTATAGCCACACAATGGAATATTTCTCAGTAATTTAAAAGGAACTAACCACTGATGTATTTAACAACATGCATGAATCTCAGTAGCATTATTATATGTTTTAAAAGGTAGACACAAAATACTACATAATATATAATTATTTGTATATGACATTCTAGAAAAAACAAAACTATACTACGAAAAGCAGATCAGTGGTTGTCTAGGGACAAGAATGGGGGCAAGGACTGACTACAAAGGGGCACAAGGTAATTTTCTAAGAGCAAAAGAAGTATGGATTGTGATGGAGGATGCATGACTGCATATAGTTACCAAATTCAAACTACACTTGAATGAGTAAATTTTACTATATGTAAGTTATAACTCAACAAAACTATAACAATGAAATATTTTTAAATTTCTTCCTGAAAATCGACTTTACAAAATCCAATTTAATTTAATGAGCCCCAGTGTGTAGTAAGAATTTAACCTTACTCAGAAAGAGATCTGGACTTTGCCCTTCACTTCTGGGAGTTAATTTCTAAGCCTTATAGGAGTGTCTTTGTTTACTTGGTGCTCTTGGGTCACAGAAGTCTAACAATGTGTTTTAGGGTTGGGGTAGACCACTCCACATACTATTTAGGGTGGGCGTCGACCACCCTAGAAAGACCAACAATGTTGTTTAGATTAAGAGTTTGGGATCACATGGTATCAAATTGACCAGAGGAGCTGGAGACTGGAGCCTGAGTCAGCCATATAATGGAGTCCCAACAAAAATTATGAACACTGAGGCTTAGGTGAGCTTCTTTGGTTAGCCATACTCTGTGTATTGTCACACACTGACACTGAGAAAGTACTGTGCTCGGACTCCGTGTACTCCACTCTCCCCAAGGGAGACAACAATGGAAGCTCTGCCCCATGCACTCCTTTTGTTGGCTGATTTTACTCTATATCCTTTCCTAAAAATAAACCATAACCATGAGTACAGTAGCGTTCAGTGAGTTCTGCAAGTCTTCCTGGCAAATAATTTGCCAGGAAATAGGTGGTTTTATGGACCCCTGATCTTGCAATTGGGGTCAGATATAAGGGTGGTTGTGTGTGGACTGTGTGCCCTCTAACTTCTTAGATGCCCTCAACTCTGACACCCAGGTAAACACAAGTGGGTGGCAAACCCACTTGATTGCCATCAAACTCATAGTTGAAGCAGTTAATAATTACCTGAAGTATATTACAAAGGTCATTGTCTATCAGCTCATGAACAATGACTAAAGCTTGTAAAAATCTTCACAGGTGTCAGGTAACCTAGAACCAACTCAAGTAGTGAGACTTCAGATTGAGCATTTGTACCAGCTGTTTAACTTAGACATGGCAAACATATACACCTAGTCAAACAACACGGAGAAAAACCAATCATCCCTTCCTTGCCGCCTAGCTGCATACATGTCATCTAATTCTGTTAAACAGGTTTTCACTTCCCTATTTAGAATTGGCAAAACATTTTGACTTTGAACTCCCGCATTTTCTAAGGTACGTAGCTGGATCTCCTCTTTCAAATTGCTCGCAGTATTTTCCACAGCAAGTATTATCCTAAAGGCAGAAATGCACTAGCAATACAGATGTTACCTTTGTAAAGAGTTTAAAAATTTAGGCTTAAGAGTAGTATGGTCACAAAATATGACAAAAAAATCTCCATAAATTTACCTTCTGAAAATTTAGTTAGCGTCTTTACAACTTCTAATATTTTCCATGAGAGGGAATGAAAGTTTAGGAAAAAAACTGTATAGGCCGGGTGTAGTGGCTCACGCCTATAATCCCAGCACTTTGGGAGGCTGAGGTGGGGGGAACATTGAGGTCAGGAGTTCAAGACTGGCCTGGCCAACATGGTGAAACTCCATCTCTACTAAAAATACAAAAATTAGCTGGGTGTGGTGGCAGGTGCTTGTGATCCCAGCTACTTGGGAGGCTAAGGCAGGAGAATCTATTGAACTCGGGAGGCGGAGGTTGCAGTGAGCTGAGATCTTGCCCATTGCACTCCAGCCTGGGTGACAGGGCGAGACTCCATCTCAAAAAACAAACAAACAAAAAAACCTGTATAAATAATACAATAAGTTTTCATTTAGAACGTCACAGATGTTACTATTTCCAAATGCTTGTAAATTTGGGAGGAAATAAGTTCTCAAATACAAGTTTATGTGAGGTATCTATCTAGGCTGCTCTTTTCCACTTTATGCTAAAGTGGGAGTGACAGTAGGTTAGAGTTAGAATCAGAGAGTACTGACAGGAGACAGAGAGAGGAGTGCTTTCCCTCAAAGCAAAGCCAAATTCATCAAAGGCTTAGAGCATCTCCATTTGTTTAAACGTATCCCTAAGTGTGGGAAGAAGTAGGTGATCTACTGGGCTGCTCTGAGGAATACCTTGACAACAGGTAGGGAGAATACTCTGTAAAACTTAAGAATTAGTCCAATGGACAAATGTATACCTCTCTTCTTCTGAGCTTCTACAACTCCACAAGATAGAGTCAGGAGTACAAGATAGAGTCAGGAGCACCTTCCTGTGTGTGCCAGTCTTCTCTGGGCTTTAGGATGGCCAACAAGAATTCCAACCTGTAGACTCAACCACACTATTCCTCAGACAGTGAGAACCAAGCTTGGTATTCTAATCAGAATTCCATCTTCACTAGAAGATGGGCTCCTGGAGCCACCTCTCAGTCCCCAAACCCTCATAACCATCTAGTCACCTCTTCGTCCAATCACCATTATGTGTACCATCCTTCCACAGCCGACTTTACTTGACTTTACCCTGATAAAATGCAAGCCCTGCCTTGAACCCCCAAAATATGACAAAAAATATTTTCAAAGACATCTCCATAAACTTACCTTCTGAAAATTTAGTTAGCATCTTTATACCTAAATGAGGCTCCAAAACTCTGCCTAAAATTACCCTGTCCCTGAAACCCTGTCACTGGCTGAGAGTCTTCAACTCATATGTACAACCTGCAACCAAGATGCTGCCCTAAGGGGAGGTCAGAGAGATTCAAGACTGAGAATCTGACCCAATTTTGCTGGAGGATGGGAGTCATGAGCCATAGAATATATGCTATAGAATATATGTTACCTCCAGAAGCTGAAACTGACTCTCAGTTTATAGCCAGCAAGGAGATAGGAACTCAGTCCTACAGCCATGTGAAACTGAATTCTGTCAATAGCCTCAATGAGCTTGGAAGAGGATTCATTCCCTAGAACCTCAAGAAAAAAATCACAGCCCTGTCAACACTTTGATTTCAGCCTTCAAAACCCACAGCAACCAGCTAAGCCATGCTGTGCACAGACTTCTGATTTACAGAACTTCGTTGTTAAAAGCAATGAATTTGCTTCAGTTTCCGATTTACAGAACTTCATTGTTTAAAGCTTCTTACTTTATGGTAATTTGTTACAGCAACATTAGGAAAGTAATACAATGGTGGTTCCAGTACTATCACCAAATTGCCTTCTTTTCCTCTCCCCACCAGCCTGCTGTTAGGAACTCAGGAAAGTGGAGTCACTCAGCTTTCAATAGACAACACTTTTACATGACATTTCATCACTGAACTGTCATAATTTCTCTATGTATTTTGTCTTCCCCACTAGAATGCAAGGTCTTCAAGCACAGGGACTACAGATGTCTTTTTATCCTTTTTTTCCATTACCCAAGTAATGTATATATCGATTATAGAAAACTTAGGAAAAAAGAGATAAGTATAAAATTAAAACCATCCATAATTCAACAGCTAATCACACTGTTGACATTTTCATGTCATTCTATACTTTTCTATGTACATGTATATTTTTACATTTATAAATAAAATCATGCTGTACATACTGGTTTGCAATTCATTTTTCCCTTAATAATGTTATGCATATATTGCATGCTATGGACATACTTCTACAGCATCATTTTTACTGACTCCACAGTATCTAAGACCGGGCCAGGACCTCCCATTGTAACCTTTCTCATGGCCTTCCCATTATAACCTCTCATACCCTTACACCTCTCTCTTCAAAACGCTTCCTATAGCTATAATAATTTGTGATTGTATGATGATTTTATTGTTGTCTCCACAAAACTGTAATTCCCATGAGATAAAAAAAAAAGTATGTTTATTTTGCTCAAGACTATAATCTCAAGTGCCTAACTCAAAGAAGATGGCCAGGAAACAGAGTTCACAAATGAATGAATGAATGAATTTAACCAAACGCTTTTTTCAACCACTTAGGTCGCTTGTTATTTTAGTATTCGTAATAGTGGTCTGTAGGACACAGCTGATTTTCCATAAATATTTGCTGAGGGCTAAATAAAATAATAAACATAATTTTCAAAAAAGGTGAAGGATAGTCACTCAGTAAACAGCAATATGATTTAAGTCATCACGAGGAAGAGAAGTCCTAGTCACATAATGAAACACTGTACAAGTGCTTAGCTGATAAGAGGATCTTCCATGCAAATATTTTAGCATATTTTATCTATATTTTTCTAGTTCTTTTTCAAACAGGAACAGGTATGCACAGTCGATAAGATTCAGTAACTCTTTAAAAAGTCTTCAAAAGAGGCATGTTTTACATGCTAATTAAAGAATAATATTCTCCCTAAAATAGATGGTTATGTGGTATAGTATAGGCCCAGAAAGTTTGGCAATCATTTAAAGTGTGAGCACAGTTTTCATATTGGTACAATCCCCTAAATAATCCTCTGCATAAGTTAATATGTGATCACGGGGTAGACTGAACCAGAGACACTAAAGATACAGGACTATGACTTTAAAGAAGGTGATCAGTGGCCACTAAAGTCCTATTCTGTATATGTGTAGATATTGCAAATATGGAGTTTCCTTAAAATAAGACCACTGTTTATTAAACAATCAATTATCTTACTTAAAAAAACCCTACTATCAATTTGAAGCTAAGTATTTTTCAGTAAATATTGAAAACATACAAATGGTAAAAAAAAAAAAAAAACAAACAAAAAAACGCAGTTCATCATCACAATTCATATTCTTTATTTGACAGAGAAAGAAATAGACAAAATTGCCTTCAAATTACTCAAAGCCTTCCTAGATTGTATAAGGGCTTTGGTGCCTTTCAAAGTTTTTTTAATGTGAATGGGGACTCGTCAAGTTCCCCTAAAAATTTCTTTCATCTTTAAACGTTAGGAGGGAGAAACTCCCAAAGCAAAAAAGGTGGGAAACTGGAATTACCATACAGCTCACCAGATCTATTTTAGTGTATGATGCGAAGAGCACCGACTGAGGGTGAGAATTGAGTGCTGGTCTGTCTCCATCAAGTCACTCATGTTTCCTAGACTCAGTTTCTTCACCTGTAATATGATCTCAAGGATTGTTTTAGCACATACATTTTAAACTTTGAGTATCTTGCCAATGAGAACAATTAAGAGAAAGAAGTAAAACTCACACTCTGATTCTGTTTTTACTAGGTAATCTGGTAAAGATTATGCAGGAAATTGAAAAGAGCTCAAATAAAATGCACCCCCTATAGATTTTACTCATACATAGATGCTATCATCCTCCGCAGACCTCTAGTTCTTTACAACCTGTTAATACAGATTATCTGACATTGGAGAGGCATTTTAGGGCAATGGAGACTTTATCAGTGACTGGGACTTTAAATGCCTTCCTTGGAAGAAAGACAAGAAGATAAAAAAGAAAATTAGATTTGTGCAAAAATATATGTTTAAAACCTCTATGGAATAATTGATACTGATGTGTGAGATACACTGGGAAAACTTCTTGGAGTAACAAAGAAAGTAGACACTAAGCTCTGTGTTAGGACTGTTTGAAGAATGAGGGAAAAGTTCTAATAATGACTTAATACTTATGTCAAAAAGATTAAGAGCAGTTCCTTACTTACTGTCACCCAGTTTTACAATGATGGCCTATGCTTACTAAGAGCTACCACCACTTTGCCATATCTTCTCCCATCTCAGGCACCCAGCACATGGGAGCATCTTTGATAGAAGCACAACATCCCTGCCCTCACCCCAATCTTCTCCCCAGAGGCAAACAAAGCTAGACCTTTTGTCCCAGCTCAGTCCACACACTCACTAATTCAGGCATCTTGCAACTAAACAGGACCATTTCTGCTCTGTCCAAATTGATATGGAAGACAGCGAGCTTCCTCTCTGGCAATAATAACAATATTAGTAATAAGGCTGGGCGCAGTCGTGCACGCCTGTAATCCTAGCACTTTGGGAGGTCGAGGTGGACAGATTGCCTGAGCTCAGGAGTTCGAGACCAGCCTGGGCAACATGGCGAAACCCAGTCTCTACTAAAAATACAAAAAAAAATTAGCCAGGCACGGTGGTGCATGCCTGTGGTCCCAGCTAACTCAGGAGGCTGAGGCAGGAGAATCACTTGAACCCAGGAGGCAGAGGTTGCAGTGAACCAAGATCACGCCATTGCACTCCAGCCTGGGTGACAGAGAAAGACTCTGCCTCCAATAATAATAATAATAATGATAATAATTTTTTATCTAAAATTGACATATATACTCTAAGCCTACTTATATATTATAGACCTAAAGATTGTAGACAATCTAGAATGTGACAGAAAAAGTATGTTTTTGGAATTCCCAATCAGAGTTCAAAATATATTACTACCACCCTGATCCCCACCATCAAAAAAATGGCAGCCAGCAAGGAACAAAGGCCCTCAGTCCAACAGCCCTCAAGGAACTGTATGCTGCCAACAACCACAGGAGCTTAGAAGGGGAACCTCCCCTCACTGAGCCTCAGATGAAATCCCAGCCCTGACCAACAATTTAAGTGCAGCCTTATGAGAGACTCTGTGGCTGAAGACCCAGGTAAGCCACATCCAGATTTCTGACCTACAGAAAGTGATCACAGATGTGTCTTGTTTTAAGCCACTAAGTTTACAGTAATACTGTTACCTAGCAACTGCCAATTAATACAGACAGAGGAGAAACACACAATATAATTAGAGTGCAAACTGAAGGCAGTAGAATAACAAGTATAATATAGGGACGTTCAGGTAATCAAATTAAAGGAAAGCTCACTATGGATAAGGTTAGTTTTGAAACATTTCATACAGAGGTTAGTTATGAGACACATCTTAAGTGTTTCAAGAATTCAGACTGGCAGAAAGGTAGAAGGAACAGCAAAGAGGTAAGAATCAATTGAATGTCCCAGACAATAAGAACATCACACTGAGGAACAGTGGGAGGAGACTGAATAGGTGAAACGGGTCCACATCACAGGAGTCCTGGAAGGGCAGGGCTGAGTGGGCTCTTCTTTGATGCTATAGACAACACCACCAAAGGAAAGGCTCTTGAGGAGGGAAATGACAACATAAGAGCCCTATTTTAAACAACTTAATCTTATCACAGTATAAAGGATGGAGCAGATTAGAGATAAGACGACCAAGAATAGATACGCTAGCACAACAGTCTTCATGAAAGGCTAACAAACATGGGGAAAAAAGGTTCACACTCATTAATAATCAAAGACATGCAAATTAAAACTATAAAACACCATTTTCTGGCTTAAAAAATTAGTAAATAATAAAAACTAATAATACTAGCAAAGATAAAGCAATCTCAAACACTGTTGGTGGGAATATAAATGGAACGGTCTTTATGGAAAGCCATTCAGCAATATGCATTAATAATTTTAAAATATACAAATCCTCAGACTCACTAATTTACTTCTTAAAACATATTCTAAGGAAATAAATTGATTTATCCATTCAACAAGCATTTAAATGTGTGCCTACTATGCTCTAGGCAGTGAACTAGGATCTGAGACATAGCAGCGAATCAAATATATCTCATTTCTTCTCTCATGGCACTTAGAATACACATTTAACAAATAATCAAAAAATAAGTATATAATTACACATATTACAGGATATAATGAGAGTACTTTTGAATATTGGATTTAAATTATGAGAACAAAAAGACCTCTCTGGGAAGTGACATTTATGCTGAGAGCCGAAGGATGAGTAGAGTTTAGCCATGTGCAGATTGGGAGGAATTTTTTTTCTGATAGAAGAAACAATATTCATGAAGTCAAGAAAGAGCTATAGTTGAGATTTTAGAGGACTGATTTGTTGACTTTTTCAACAAATATGTATAAAGGTCTTAGTAAGACCAGCTACTGTACTAGCGGCTGACAGTAAGGAACAGGAGAAAGTGATCAAGGTTAGGCTGAAGTATTAGCAGACAAAACAGGTGTAAAAATACTATATAGCTACACAAGGGCCTACAGTTCATAAGGAAGCAAAGAAGTACGAGGAAATAAGTGTAAAGGAAGGAAACCAATGCATTTTCAGGAGAAAGAAGAGGATGGAATGAAGGTGACAAACACAAAGACTGCTGCTTTTCTGTCTGTTTTCAGATCGAAATATTATAGACTTATCTGAGAAGGGTAAAAAAAAGTCTGTTCATTTTTTTACAAAAACACTTATAGACAGAAATACTTAAGTAGGTTAGCACTAAAAAGGTCATACAGTAAGAGAAGATGAAGTAGAAATCAAAAATAAATTTTAAACATGCGTACATGAATTAAGGAACAGCTACACCTGGGAAACTATTTTCCCTCTGTATGAATGGCTCTTGACTATTCTAAACATTCAGGGAATAGTGACCACTTTTTCAGAATCATAAGTAGCCTCTCTTGGAAGAGGCTGAAAGGTACATAGAATAATCCAAGTATTTGCAGCCTGCTCTACTGAACAGATGAATCACCACAAGGTTAAACATGAAGAGTAGCATTTACACAAACTTTATGGTGAGAACAGGCTTGGAGTCATGGCAAGTTATGAAAGGAGCCATAAAAATGATTCCAATCCCATGTAAGCAGAAGACCTGACGGAGCAGATCCCTTTTCCTCTTATCTCCTCAATTATCTAAATTGTAATATTTTATATTTGATACCTGTCAGCAGCATTAAAGAGTTAAATAATATTTTACAGAGTAGATGCTATCTACAAAAAATAGTACTGTGGAACTCTGTACTATATTTGCAACTTATATGAGTCTAAAGTTATTTCAAAATAAAAATAAAAAAATCGTAGTCTTGCTACAAGAAATAACATACAGTCTAAAATTTGCATTAGTTTCATGAAGCAATCATAAAGAAGAAGAAATGTAACAATTCTTCAAATTGCTAAGAGTCCAACTTTCACTTCTCTCAATGGATACAGGTGCATATCAAGAGAAAAACTCATCTTCTGGGCTGGATATTCTACAGCCCACCAGACATGTGACTTTGGGAAAATTACTTCAATCTTCCAAGCCTCTGTTTCACCTACCTCACAGGGTGGTATCACATGCTAGTTGACTTTGGGATGCCATACAAACACTCATCGCTGTTATTTACAATTTTGTTTATTTAAACTGCATTATCTTATCTTCATTAATGGGAGTAATAACGCTGAGAAATTAACTATTTGGATTTCTTCAGGTTTGTGACATTATCAAATTAATCTTATACTTCCCACTAGGGGCCCAGATTTAACTGACAGATTTATATAATAATAAATACAGTTATTACATACCACCTTCCTGGAAAATGCTTTATAATAGACCTATAACCTTAAAAATGATACCTGCTTAGCCTTTTCCTATAAAGTGCATTAACTGGATTAGTTAGCCTACTACCTTAAAATTAGTTTTGTTAATTCTGAAGAACAAGTTAGATACTTAAAATGCCTAATAAGGTTTCATGGGGCATAAATATATAGTCTGTACAAATATATTAGCATCATACATAAAATATGCTAGATGAAATCTATTTTCCCTACAGGTATTAAAAACAAAATGATAGCCCTTTTGAAGAAAACAGTCAATTAAGTCAGGAATTTCATGAAATCTAAAAGATGAATATTGAGAACCCAAAGCAAATTTTAAAGTCTGACAAAATGTATCTTTTATAAAGTTGGAAACTGATGTATACTTATAAATGATACAACATAAAATATTTTCTATTATGTTAATATTTCAAAATCCATTATCATCCCTCTGTCTCCCATTAAGCATAATCTTAGAGGAAAATATGTTACAGGGTTAAAACTAGTATATAACTTAAAGGCTAAAGAAAAAAAAAGAGTAAAAGAATAACCTTTTCAAATCAAGCCTTTACCCATTAACATGGGTAAAGGTAGACCATTTTAACATGGTAGCTAATTCTGTTTCCTGAAGAATGTTATTTGTAGACCAATAAGAAGAATCATTCAAGGGTTCAGTGAAAAAAAATCAAACACACCAACAGAAGTCACATAAAAATAATATTTGGTAAGATATTATCTTTAAAACAGCAAGAACAGCAGGATTTTCTCTGTGCCTCTTTCAAAGTTTCCATGTGTTCATCATTCAGCAAGTCTACTCACTTCCGCTGGGTGTGGTCCATGCCACTGTTTGGTATTGCTTCCAACTTTGTATTTTTCTGCCCACAGATATTTCCATAGCTGTCGTATCCTGACACTAGTCTTGCTGCTGCACCTGTTGCTATTGAAAAGCCACAAATAAATCCCTAGGAAAGAAACAGAAAAAAACATACAAATAAACCATTTCAATAGCCAACAGTCACTAGTTGATACGATAATGAGCTTCTTTTTGTCTGCTGAAGGGAACAAAGAGCTATCTTTTCTTACTGCAAACACTATTCCACTGTTTTCCTTGGATTGCACATAAACAGTACAAAGAAGTCCATAGGGAAACACTATTTACTACCATAACAAAACAAATCCCAACCTTTACATCATAAGGTCAACTTTGAATTTTATAATAATAATAATAGTAATAATAGCAGCTCCCCTTTACAGAACATCTGCTCTGTGCCAGTTTGTGTACTCTTAATAGGTGCTTGTAGTACGTTATCTCTAATCCTCATGATGAAGAAACTGAGGCGTAGAGATGTTAAACAAGTTATCCAAGGCCATCAAAGCTAGTAAAGATCAGAGCATAGAATCAAACCCAGCTTCCCTCATTCTCTAGTTTCATTTGGTTGTAAAGGGGTTCCGTTAAGTGAACATCAGCAAAGGATGAAAGAAAAAAATTCAAAGAACAATAGGAACGTGGGTTTTGAATCATTATCACTTCAGTGCACCCAATACTTCTGTTTCCTTCCTGCAATAAAGCTGTATACAAGTCAAAGAATTACATCGTGAAGCACTGCCATGCTCTTAATATTGAAGACTGGAGGAGAGTAAGGCACTGGCTTTGTATACTGCAAAGGTCACTTCATTTCATGGGAATATGCTTCATCACAGTACTAAAGGCAAATGGTAGATACTTCAGAAGCACATCATGCTTGCTAAGTCAAGCATGCACTGACCAAAACAAAGCAATAAAAGCCTACGCTTGACAGCAAGCTACTAGCCAGAAGAACAGAAAGTGAATCACTACTGATAAATTGATTGTATTGGTGGGAAAGACTGAGGTTAAGAACTATTCTTGCAATCTGATCGTTAAAAGGTTACATTTTTATTATCTTTAGTAAACTGGCTAAGAAGGCAGAGACTATCATTATTTAATTAATCACAGCCAAGTATCACGAGTAGTACTTATGTAAATAGCCCTGCTAGATCCAAGGCCTACAGTGGAAAATACTATACTCATATGCAATTCCTCAGAGAAAAGTATTTCCCCTTTAAATATACTTACCCAAAAAGGCAAACAAACTGTGTTCTAAATAAGCCCTGTACTTTCATTGTGCAGGTAAGGGAGCTACAAGGAAAGAATAGAGAACATAGCTACAGTCAGTAGAAACTTCGTGAAGCTATACTTCGTAAAAAAGTAGACTGAGAGTAGAGACTAGCCCTGATTTGCTACTCACTAGCTTCAACTTTCTGTCTCAATTTACTCATCTGTAAAATTGAGATAATTGTAGCTCATCAGGCTGTTGTGAGGATTAAATGATGTAATCCAGTAAAGTGGTAAAAAACCTGCCTGGCATATAGTAAGAGCTCAATAAAGTCTTAGCTATTATAGTTGTTAGGTACTATTATTAGAAATGAGAATATGCTATAAGGGAAAGATGGTGGGCTTTGGGGTCAGAAAAGCCTGTGTTGATCAATGGAATACTGATGAGTCCATTTTCTTCTTGGGTGACCTTGGACAAACTTACTTAATTCTGTGCCTCAGTTTGCCATCTATAAGTTAAAGTTAAAACCACTTACCACAAAGGCTGTTATGAGAATTACATGAAATAATACATGTTACATGTAAAGTGCAAGTCTCAATACATGTTAGTCTCCTTCTGCCTCCAAGCAGCACAAACTGCTAGCAGCAGGGTTAGACACAGCTGGTCAGTACTTACTCATTCACACTCACCCTGTTGCCCCTCTCCCCCTCTCCTGACTCCTCCAAGGACACTACAGGGCAGTCAATCCCACCTCAGAACTTCAACCCAATGCTAAGACATAGAAAAAAAATATTTAATCCTCTGCATACATATTTGCATATTTACATGTGTGAATCAGCATACCATTTTAAGCATATCTTTGAATTCCAAATTAGGAAGCCCTGTGCTGAGTAAAAACTGGAAAAGGAGGTTAAGTATTAGGAGGTTTAATAGCTAACCTTTCCAACACATTTTTTTTTTTTTTTTTAAGATGGAGTCTAGCTCTGTCACCCAGGCTGGAACACAGTGGCACGATCTCGGCTCACTGCAACCTCTGCCTTCCAGGTTCAAGCGATTCTCCTGCATCAGCCTCCTGAGCAGCTGGGAGGACAGGCATGCACCACCACATGCAGCTAATTTTTGTATCTTTAGTAGACACAGGGTTTCACCATATTGGCCAGGCTGGTCTCAAACTCCTGACCTCAAGTGATCCATCTGCCTCGGCCTCCCAAAGTGCTGGGATTACATGCGTGAGCCACCGCGTGTGGCCTCCAACACATGTTTTAACAAGAAGACTCAGATTAATGGTAAGGGAATGGACTTCGTATTCAGTAAGACCTGGATTCAAACCCTCACTCTGCCAATTACTAGCTGTGTAATTTTGATCTAATTACATACTTAGACTCTGTTCCCTCCTCATCTCTAATACAGAGTAATACCATCTATTTCACAGCCTAATGATGAGAACTAAATGAAATAATGCATATCCGATCCCTAGCTGAATGTCTGGTACATGGCAGGTGATCAATAAATGGTAGCTGTTAGGGGTGAATTTGAATGGGAAAGTCAGACTAAAGAGGTTAACAACAGTAACTGGACACTAACAAAAACCCCTTTGGTTCTCTATTTTAGAACAAAAATTTCTAGGGGGAACAGTGAGAATGCCAGTAATTTCGTTACCGTACAAAAATATTTTCAGACCACAATTACAATCTTCTTTCACTACTAATCTAAAATAGCAAAGTTGTTAGATAATTAAAAGGTTATGTTCTTCTTTTACTTTTTATAGGAATTTTCTTCTTATGTTTGATAAGTACATTGTGTTACAGATACCTTTAAGTGGTTTCTGATTTCCTTTTCTGACTATTCTTAACTGTACTGTTGGACATGTGGGTTTTTTTCTTTATCATCATAAGCCACCTCACAACCCTCTCGGATGTAGGCAGGGGTATAAATTGTAAATGTTACATATATATGCTAAAATGGGACACTGACATATTTTCACATAGGCCACTTAAACTTCTTAGTAGCTTCCAGAAGCATTAGAGAGGGTGGGAAGCTGCCAGGGGTGGGGGGTGGGCAAGGAGAATAATAAGCTAATAAGATGGGAAAAAACCATGACTATCATCCTAGGGACTTCTCACACGGTACAAGCATTGACAATGGGGAAGTAGGCCAAATATAATTAAAAATACAATCTCTTTAAAAAGAAAAATTCTAAAATCCGAATGTGGGAAGCAATATAGTTTCAGAAAGGAAAAAATGTGGCACATGAAATTAAAGTGGGGTGAGAGAAACTTTACAGAATACACTCCATAATTTAATGGTTCAGCAGAGAGAGAGGGAAAAGGCATTCAACAGAAGGAAAAATCACATTAATGAAGCAAATGATAAGGGCATAAGGAAGGCTTTCATAAGCATGGAGTAGGAAGCAATCTTAGAGAGAAAGTAAGACTATTAGCAAGGAAGAAAACCACGGCTAAAATGTTCAAATGACTGAGCTATGGAAGTGCTTTCAGCACTGCTATTTTAAGAGAGAGAAGAGGAACAGACAAATTTATTCACAAATAGGAGGTGACTTAAATCAGATGAAGGCATACAGGGATGGTGGGTCAGAGGCATGACCTGGCAACTCATAAGTACCAACTGCCTAAGTGGAGAAAGACAATTTACTCATTAATGAACTGTGCTCATTTTCCCTTCATATCACAAGGTCTAGTTGTACCTAAGTAAGGGCTTTTGCTTAGTTTTATTTGCTATTAGTAAAAAAAAAAAAAAAAAAAAAAAAGGACACACTTTTATTTCACAAGCATGTTTGAATTTTACACATAGAGCTTTTACTAAGTAACTGAGCAAAGCAGAAGGACTAAATTTAGTTTTGAAAAAAATGGTCAACAAAAACATGTATAGAGTGGGTGGGAGATGGTGTATGAGTATGGCAAAATGTTTCAAAATAAAAAGGTAGGGAAAAAAGGAGTTCTGCTTAAAGCCCTCTCCTGTGGAATTAATGAAAACATATATTGACTCTCTTTTTCTCAGATACCACCTCCTTCACTTAACCTCTATAAAGCCCGTATCTCATCAGTGCTTGGGCTCGAGCTCATAATAACTGATTTGTAAAATCCTGGAACATTTGCCTTCTGTTTCGCCTCTTTTGAGAACCTTAAGATACAGAGGGCTATTGGGACCCAGCAGATAGGGCAGGATAAAAGGCCTGATGCAGAGTGAGTATTTATGTAAACAAATTAAACAAAATTAATTATAAACTTGTATCAATCTGTCAGATTTCCAGACTTTTAAAAAAATGTAATAGGATGCCTCTCTCTAAGAATGAGGAAAGAAGAAGGAAAAAAAAAGAATGAGGCCAGGAGCAGTGGTTCATCCCTGTAATTCCAGCACTTTGGGAGGCTGAGGTGGGAGAATTACTTGAGGCCAGGAGTTTGAGACCAGCTTGGGCAACATAGTGAGACCCTGTCTCTACAAAAATAAAAATATTAGCCAGACATGGTGGCACATGCCTGTAGTACCAGCTACTCAGGAGGCTGAAGCAGGAGGATTGCTTGAACCCAGGAGTTCAAGACTGCAGTGAGCCATGATCATGCTACTGCACTCCAGCCTGGGCAATAGAGTGAGACCTTGACTCTGAAAAAAAAAAAAAAAAAAAAAAAAAAAAAAAAAAAAAAAAAACGATAGAAAGTCTAGGGAATAACTACTCAATAAGCATTTATTGAGCATATACAAATGCAAGGTTTACCCTAAAAGAATTGAAGTGTCCTCAAGAGGGAAGAAAATAATCAGCATGAGGGAGTGAAATCATAGGCTCAATTTCATGGGCAGCTAAAACAATGAAAAGAACACAGACAAGGAAGACTGAAAACTGACCCTCACTTTGCCATGAACACTCCTTACCATCATGAGCAAGTAACTTTTTATTCCCTGAGCCTCAGTTTCCTTATCATCACAAGGATAGAATTAGATGAATCTCTAAAGCCCTTCCTCTTCAAAACTATTATGATTCTAAGGGAAAGCAGACACAGAGTACAATTTTTAAGAGTATACTTGCAGGGAGAAGTTCACACCTGTTTGGTTTACTACAGTGACTGAGAATAAATAAAGCAAAAGCAGATTAAAAACAAATGAATTTAACTGAACTACATACTTAAAAATGGTTAAAATGGTAAATACTATGTTAGGTACATTAATAAGTAATAATCACAATATTAAAATAAAGAAAGGAAACAGACTTAATAGAAAGTAGCAAGTCATTTGGATCAGGTAACCTTATGGTAATTTTTGGAATGTTGTTGTTCTTATTTCTGTGATCCCAGCAAAGAACAGCCCATCAAACAGGTGTCTAAATACTGCAGTGAATCTCTCACTCTGTTCTGCACGCTCAACAATAGTTAATGAGGTAGAAACATCATGCCCTGGGAAGTAAATCAATGCTATATAAAATAGAAAAGGTCCTTCCTTGAAAGCAGTCTGAAGGGACAAACTATGAGATGATGTCCCCTAAATCCAACTCTATTCCAGATCATTCTCCAAGATTCCAACTTTGCATTTCTAACTGCTTCTCCTTACTCACAAATTCTACATGTCCACAACTCATTTTCTCATTCCACACTTCCCTTTCCTCCATATACTCTATCTCCATTGGTGGCACCACTTATCTACTAGATGGCACACACAAGATATGAAGTGGAAGACTGCAGTCTCCTTTCTCCATGCTTCTGCTCCTCACCCTAGCTTCCTAACAACATACTAAAGGAAGAGGTGATGCCAAGCGATTTGGTCAGAGCCTGAGATACTGATGAGACCACGTTTCACTGGCAAGCAAGGTTACTGGTCCTACAGGTCCATGTTCTGAACAACTTTTTCTGTTGTCCTCAATTCCAGGCAACAGAGTGGGGTCTACCTCTTGAGGCCTCCCCTTCTACCTCTTCTCTTCTGGGTTCAGTGCTGCCACTATGTAATCTTAGACAGTTATTGAGCTTATCTCTATGCCTCTGTTTCCTTCTCTGTAAAATGGGAATGTGATAACAACAATGTATACGTCCTTGAGCAGGTGTGGGAATTAAATGAGTTTCTATATGTCAAGTGCTAAGAACAGTGTCTAGCTCATAGTAAGCAGCAATAACTACTAGGGTAAGTAAGTTGTAGGGGGTCTCTGTATCTTCTGTTTTCCATGGTAAGCACTCTTGTTAGGGCCATCCAGCCTCCTCCCTTCTTGCCTTTTTGTGGTAAGCTAATCTGGGCAGATTTCATCCAGGTAGATCTCCATTCTCTCTTCTTCTCCTTTTCTGACAAATACCTCTCCTTGAGACAGAATGAAGTCAGACCATCCTAGATGGGAAGGAACTTTAGCCTTTTGGGCCCAAGCTTCATTCCACAAGTTATTTTTACCAGGGAGTACCTTATTGGGCATAATCAGGTATCTACTAATAAAGTGGTGCTTTATTTATCCATCCCACTCTTGTTTCCTGATGTGTACAGAAACCGTGGTTGAGAACCCAGGAGGAGCTGGGGTGGGATTTGAGCTGAGAAACCTATCCTGAACCCCTAACACAAGAACCTCTTAGTCATCCTTGATCTGTCTCTCACTTGTCTGCAACACTGATAACACCATTGATAAATGTTACGGATCCTAATTCTTCAATCTCTCTCTTCCTCTCCTTTAGCACTACTTTATTTCAGGTTTTTCACCTCTTATCTGGACCATTACATCAGCCTCCAGAGTGATCTGCCTGAAACCTCTTTCAACCTTCCAAGCCATCTTTAACATTAGCTGCCAGCGCCATCTTTCTAAACCCACTCATATCACTTCTTGCTCAATACTTTTCAGTGGTTTATCTGTGCCTATAATAGTGGGTCTCAACTTTGGCTGAACATCAGGTTTGCAGAGATTATATGAGAATCCCTGAGGTAGGCCTGAGGAATTAGGTTTTTTTTTTTTTTTTAGAAAAGATCCCAGCTAATTCTAGGCTGGGCACAGTGGTTCACACCGGTAATTCCAGCACTTTGGGAGGCCGAGGCATGCAGATCACTTGAGGTCAGGAGTTCGAGACCACCTGGCCAACATGGTGAAACTCCATCTCTATTGAAAATGCAAAAATTAACCAAGAGTGGTGCTGGGTGCCTGAAATCTCAGCTACTCAGGAGGCCGAGGCAGGAAAATTGCTTGAACCTGGGAAGCAGAGGTTGCAGTGAGCCAAGATCGCACCCTGCACTCTAGCCTGAATGACAGAGCAAGACTCTGTCTCAAAAAAAAAGAAAAGAAAAAAAAGAAGAGATCCCAGCTAATTCCAATGTACAGCTAGGGCTAAAAACCACTTGTTTACTGCCTTAATGAAATATACAAATTTATATTTGTATATTTATACAAATGTGCAATGTTACAAGTAATTCTTTGGAGCAGAGTTAAGTATATGCCCAGTAATTCCAAAATAGTGATGAAAGTTCAAATGTAGAAGATAGAACTTAAGAAGGCTGACAGCAACTTGCTTTGAAAAACACTCTAAGTTCTAGACAACTCAAGCATTAGAAAAACCTTGAAACTAAGGGAAGAAATAAAAGAGAAGTACAAATATTGATGAAGAGATGAACATGTATAAGATTTAATGGTAGAGATGAGTGAAAGATGACAAGATCTTAGAATATTTAAGAACTAGACCATAGGTATCAAAAAATCAGCAAAAAACTGCAAATAAAGTCAGAGAATAAAGGTATGGTTTGAGTGTCAGGCTGCAAGATTACTAAGAAGAAATAATCTGTAAGAGAAGCAGGCAGCTGGGCCACTCGATTAAAAGGACATAGCCAGAAAGTTCCAGTTCCTATTCTATCTTTGCCACTTATTTCCAGCAGTATATTCTTAGACAAGCTAATATTTAACCTTGCTATACTTTGTCTATAAGCAGGGGATAAAACCTATTTCATTGAAAAAAATTTAAAAGATACATACAGATATATATATATACACGTACTAAAGTGTTGAGCATAGATTAATGCCCAACAAATGTTTGTTAAATGTTTATTTTAAAAGTACTATAGAATGAAATCCAAAGAGAGAGAAATCGTCTAAAAATCGTTTAAAACAAATACTCAGAAGCCAAAAAATGCTGAATCTCTGTTGTGCCAAGGAATAGAACTTTGAGATTTCTTATTTCCACATGGCAAAATACGATGTTAGCTCAATTCCATGAAGGTAGTAATCCATTAAAGGAATCATTCGAAAACAAATAATGCTATGCCAACATTTAAAAGTACACACAGTGGGTCTTAATTACCATCATACTGAAATCAACATTATATTAATTACCATTGCATTAAAATGTTTCAGTAAACAAATAACTCCTTAGTCTCAAGTCACTCCCAAATCAGCCTATTAACATTAATGATTGCACTTTCCTGACCTGTTTTAGCACAGAAAATCCAAAGCACCTCGGGTGGCATGGTACATGTTTTTGTAAACAATTTTGAAAGGTCAGCTGCTATTTGTCCCAGGGTTACATTCAGGGAGTGGGGAAAGGCTGTGGACTAATTCTGTTATCAAAGAATCTTTCTATGGCAGGGTGCGGTGGCTCACGCCTGTAATCCCAGCACTTTGGGAGGCCGAGATGGGTGGATCACCTGAGGTCAGGAGTTTGAGATCAGCCTGGCCAACACGGTGAAACCCCATCTAAAAATTCAAAATTAGCTGGGCGTGGTGGTACATGCCTGTAATCCCAGCTACTTGGGAGGCTGTGTAAGGAGAATCACTTGAACCTGGGAGGTGGAGGTTGCAGTGAGCCGAGATCACACCATGCACTCCAGCATGGGCAACAAGAGCAAAATTCTGTCTCAAAAAAAAAAAAAAATTTTTTTTCTCCACACGCTGCATAAACATTCATGCATGTTATATTTCAGCTGCCATTCCATTAAACTAAGTAAACTTTTGAGCAATATCTTTTAAGTCATTAAGTTAGGAGATGAGTATTTTGACCTTTCCTAAATATCCTAAATTTGGTGAAACGGTGCTTTTATCTTTAAAATAAACACTCCTTATTTTACTGGATTTATCGTATCTCATTAAAATGTATTGCTTTCTTTTCCTTTTCTCAGAGGCAGAACTGGTACCTACAATTGTGCCTATTAGCCAAGATGACAGTTGTTCTGTGATTCACAAATGGCGCTGGCCTGGTGGGCAGTCAGAGGAGACAAAGAGCAAGATTTTCATAAAGAAACTCTATAAAAGGTATAGTAAGAAGGGGGTTAAAAATACACATGAGTAGGAACAAGGCTGCCTGAGGTAGTGTAATTGCATTTTGAATTGTAGAAGACTAAGAAAGAGAGAGCAATAATGTATCTGCAGAGTCCCCTTGAGGAAGAGGAAATGGGGTGTTAGAAAACAGCATTGATCTGGAAGTGAACAGACCTGGGCTCTGTTCTCAGCTCTGTCATGAACTAGCAGTGTGGCCTTGGGATAGTAATTTCCATCTCTGAGTTTGATGTTTTTAATCTGTAAAATAAGGGCGATGGACTAGATGAGGATTTCCATGTCCTTTCTACTTCTAAATATCAGACCGCTTTAAAAATAGCAGTTTTCTATGTTTTTTCCAGCCCAGCACACTGGCAGGGACTCTAATGCCACTGAAGTCTGTGTCAGAAACTCCTGTAGGGCAGAGTGAGTATGCAATTGAATGTGCACATCCTTAATACCTTATACCAGCAACTCTGCTCCTCCATTCTCTATACCCACTGGAAAATCACCAGGTCCCTTGATCTCTAATTGAAAGATGCCACTCATTACAGCAGACACAGCAGGCAGCAGGGGCCGTTGGAAAACCACCAGGTCCCTTCATCTCCAATCGAAAGATGCCACTCATTACAGCAGACACAGAAGGCAGCAGGGGCCTAGGACAGGCAGAAGGAGGAAGGAGCAGTGAGCAACCAGCCTCCCATCTAGGAAGAACTGTGGAACACCAAGTCCCTGAGAGGAAATGACTGCCCTAAAGATAACCAACAAGTTGGTGTGACTGGGTTGGGTGAATATGCAGGGCTCATGACTCATGGTCACTGTTTTGCTCACCACTCTATCAAGATCAACATTCAGAGACTTACGTCAAATGATTTGCTTTCTGAAATGGTCTATTGAATGGCATATGAGTCCCAGCTGCTCCTTAATTTGAGCTCAGTTTTCATGTAGAAAAACAAATCAAGAGTGACACAAAATACCACTGAATTGTATGAGGACTGGTATATTCCACAACTGCCCTCATTAAAACAACTACTCGTCATTCCCTTGGATCATGAGTCCAGTTTGGACCATCTGTGAGAGTTTCCTTACCATCCCAATGCAGAAGAGGATGAAGAGCAGCAGCCATGGTATGTCTGTGCAGCTACGGTCCTCCAGCGGCTTCCATTCTCGTTTGGAGCTCTAATTGGAAATACAAAATAAGAGAGTGTTAAATGCTAAGTTTAGTTAAAGTTAGAAGGGCACAAATACACCAGCTATAGCTAGAGCCCTTCTTTGCCAAACAAGTTTCTATTGAACCTTTAAGACACAACTCAAATATTTGTCACCTTTTCTGTGACGTTTATGCTAACCCCCACAGCTAATAACTCCACTGGCCCTACTCCCACCCCTCTTCCTGGCCAGGCCCGGTACTGAGTTCATCGCTTTTTTGGTACCTGTATTAGAGTTTTTAGCAGGCTAAATTGTCATTCTTATTTGTTATGCTGTGTCCCAGCAGACTGTGAGTGTCATAAGGAAGAGACCAGGCTTATTTCTCGGCATCTAACATGATGCCTGAGGGTTCATAATATGTACTCAGTGAGGGCTTTTTAAAAATGAATAAATAAATGAATACACTCTTCCAACTTCACTCTTAATGCTAGCTTTTTCTTTGTGTGTCCAGATGCTAAACTTAAAAAAAAAGTTAGAATGTGCTGTTTATATATATGTTCTCTTCTAGGAAAGATGCCCATCAAAATGGATTCCTATTCAGGCCGGGCCCAGTGGCTCACATCTGTAATCCCAGCACTTTGGGAGGCCGAGGCGGGCAGATCACCTGAGGTCAGGAGTTTGAGACCAGCCTGGCCAACATGGCGAAACCCCGTCTCTACTAAAAATACAAACATTAGCTGGGCGTGGTGGTGGGCTGTAATTCCAGCTACTCGGGAGGCTGAGGCAGGAGAACCGCTTGAATTCAAGAGGCGGAGGTTGCAGTGAGCCAAGATCGTGCCACTGCACTCCAGCCTGGGCAACAAGAGCAAAACTCCATCTCAAAAACAAACAAACAACAACAACAACAACAACAAAAACGGGATTCCTATTCAGGGGTAGATTTATCTAAGTCAAAAAAAAATTCAGTTTCTATAGACAGATCTGTGCAGCTCCTAAACAATCCATGCATTTTCATCTTGTTCCTAGAAAATGTTAGTTTCTAGATCAAACACAGAGAATCCTGAACTACAGAACTAGCGGCATTCTAAAAGTTAACTTGCAAAGTATTGACTGGAATTCCAACTGCATTTTTTTTTTTCTTATTTCAATAGTCTTAGGATCTCGGGTCAGCTCACAAATCCCTTTTAATGGAAATCTAACTGAAATAACCCCCCTGAGCTTTCTAATGAACAAAAATGCCCGAGTCTCACACCCTCTCCTGGAAACAGTAAGCAGTGAAGGGAGAAAGAAGGTATCCTTGGAAAACCTATGGGAAAGGTTCCTCTGAGAAGGTTCAGGCCTCCAGTGGCTTCCGTGACAAGATCCAGGAAGCTATTTGGAAAAGTCTTGTCAGGAGGAAAGGGCATGAGCAGGAGGGGGCTGGAGATAAGGGAGCCCTCTGGTACAATTAGTATATATAGAGTGCAACCAGGCTTAGTTCTCTCTCCCTCTAAAACCATAGTGTTGAACTATGTATCCTTTGATAACCTGATGAAAACTACAGATTCTTTTCTTAATATGTAAGCACAGGCCAGGCATGGTGGCTCATGCCTGTAATCCCAGCACTTTGGGTTGCCGAGGCGGGCGATCACCTGAGGTCGGGAGCTCGAGACCAGTCTGACCAACATGGAGAAACCCCGTCTCTACTAAAAATACAAAGTTAAACGGGTGTGGTGGTGCATGCCAGTAATCCCAGCTACTTGGGAGGCTGAGGCAGGAAAATCGCTTGAACCCGGGAGGCGGAGGTTGTGGTAAGCCAAAATCGCGCCATTGCACTCCAGCCTGAGCAACAAGAGCGCAACTCCATCTCAAAAACAAACAAAGAAAAAAAGTAAGCATATATTCACATAATTTTCATAAGAATTTAGGGAATTCAAACCCCAGATGAAAAAACACAACTTTAAAATATCTGCCTATCAACAATGAGGGCGGAGAATTGGAGTTAAAACAATTTCTTCCTAACCCCTAAAGTGTTAAACAAATGCTTTGTTATTGCCTTACACTGTATAATTGTTATGAACAGAACAAAACAAAAAACACAACCAGTTAGCTTGTTCCCAAACACCCACACAGAAAACAAAAGAGCACTAGTTAGTCATGGAAAAAAACCTTACCCTAAGACTCTAACTAGCATTAAAAACCAAGAATGAGTAGGCAGTTTTTTTCCCAGAGGAATGTAGCATTGTGGCGTAAGAGATGAAGGACTGGTTCTCTCCCTGGCTCTGTCATTAGTTAGCTACATGAATTTAGATAAATTGCTTCATATCTCTGGGTGGCAGGAAGGAGTTAGTCTGGATCTCTTAGGTTCCTTCCAACTCTAAAATCTATGATCAAGAACGCACTTTTGTGGAAACTTTGTTATGACTAGGAAAAACTGCAAAATAATTTGACATAATTCTCTGTATTATTCATATAAGAATGCCTGTATTGTGGTCTGTATTTTGGAAGACAGTTGTTCACAGTGTGAATAAAGAATGTTTCTTTGTATTAAATAATTTCAGTCTTGAATAGTACCCATTACAGTAAAACTGCTTCCAAACAGAGAATTTGGACACATGTTTGATATTCATTACGTTTACTCTATGGTAGTTTATAAAGCAAAAGCTACTTTGAAATGCTGTATTTGTTTGTCTTAACAAACAGCATGTATGGGGAGGGAAGAAAGGGAGAAGCCTCAGGTTGGTTGTGTAGTTTCTTTATCCCCAACTATTTTCTTAGTATTTTTACCTTAGACCAACATTCAGTTCATTAATGCCTAAATTTTCATCTATAACATACAGAGATAGTTCATTTTTGACCAGAAAAATACAAAGATTCAACATCTCAACAAGTCGATTCAACTTGCTGTGGGTCACGTCTGTGCTAAATACACAGAAATTCTTTCACTGGGAATGAGAAGTGGAGAGAGGGTAGGAGTTACATATAAAAAATACTGACAGAGTCTTAAGTAGTATGGAAGAACAAAAGTGATCACCCTCACTTGGACAAAGGAACACTTAGCGGAGGAGGGGTGGCTTACTTCACAGGGCTGTTTTGAGAAGCAAATGTGAGCACCAGTCACACAGCATGCACTCAATTCTTGGTTATTATTATTCATCAATACTTTTCAGTTAACCCTCTCTCTGTTATTAAAATATCCTTTTACCAAGTGGACCTTCCCACTAAAAAGGATATAAAGAATATTAAACTCTTTTTCCCTTATACGTACTAAAATTTTGACTTAATGGTGGCATATTTCATTTTAGCTGCCATTGTTAATGCCATCAGTTATTGATTACTATTAATCAGACATTAGACTCAAAGCTTTACAAATATTATGTCTTCTACATTCAAAACAGCTCATGTAGGTATCGTCTCTATTTCACAGATGAGGAAACTCAGGCTCAGAAGTTAAATAATCAGCCTAAGGTTTCACACCTGCACAATCAGTCTTTGGCGCCCTCCCCCCCACTCCCCGCCCCAAGTCTGTGACTCCAAAGCCTATTCCAATAAGACTAT
The DNA here is from genome assembly GCF_000001405.40 of Homo sapiens. Lineage (NCBI taxonomy): Eukaryota > Metazoa > Chordata > Mammalia > Primates > Hominidae > Homo > Homo sapiens. The sequence goes on along the minus strand of NC_000009.12, from coordinate 105,295,712 downwards.
TTTTTATTTGTACTAGTTAGTAAAAAGCAATAACCTCAATTAGTTTCTCCTCACATTGAAAAATTTGGGAGCCAACTCAATAATTTTAAATCCTGTTGGTACAGGGAAAGCAAGTGAGATGTGTTATGAGCCATGAAGTTTCTCAAGTGAGTCAGAAAACCGAAGAGTTGAAAATTTTTAATAATTCTTTAACAGATTTAACCAAGTGGCAACAGGATTTAATGCTGTTTCTTCCAATTAAAATTCTGCATAGACCTAGCAAAAGTAAACTGTTTTGCAACAGCACTTTTTAAATGTGATTTTACCCCTTTCTCAGATTCCACATGAGATTAATACCAGGCTTTCAGTAAATGTTAGGTCTCTCCCCTTCACAGGATCTTGCGGTTTAGGAACTGAATAGTACCAAAATAATCATATAATCCAAGCCTTTAGTGAGAGTGATTGAAACCCAGAGAAGAGAAGAGGCTTGCCCAAGGGCATACATTTATATTATCTATGACCGCATTTGATTCCTAAAACAATTCTGTTAATTACTATATACTCCTGACTTTTCTAATTTATAGAATAGGAAAACAAAAATCAAAGAAAACAAGTGGAAAATCTATGTCTGAAACCTGAGTCCTCAAACTCTAGCAGAAAAACAGGAACTGTAAGACAGGATCCAGGGATACTAAAAACAAACAAACAAACATGGTAACAAAGATGAAGAATGCCTTTCTCAGGCTCACCAGTGTACTAAACACAGGCAAGGAAAAAAATCAGTATACTCAAAGACAGGTTAACAGAAATTATCCAAACTGAAACACACACACACACACACACACACACACACACACACACACACAGACTCAAAATTTAAAAACCAGAATAAAGCATCCAAGAACTATAGGATAATAACAAATGATATGACATACATGTAATTGAAATCCAAGAAGAAGACAGAATGAGGCAGAGGAAATATTTGAAAAAAATGACTGCAAATTTTCCAAAAATAATGAAAGAAATCAAAGCACAGATCCAAGAAGTTCAGAGAATCCCAAGCAGAATAAATACACAAACACACACCCCCTACACCTATTATACTCAAACCCTTGAAAGCCAAAGATACAAAGATCTTCTTGAAGGCAGCCAGAGGGGTAAAAAAAGACACATCACATACAGAAAAACAAAGATTACAGTAGTCTTCTTGTTAGAAACTATGAAAAGTAGAAAACCACAGAATGACATCTTTAAATCGCTGAAAGGAAAACGAAAAAAAAAACAACTACCAACCCCAAATTCTACGCTGACAGAAGATCTCTCAGACATGAACACTTTTCAAACCAAAACACGTGACAGAATTTATTAGCCATAGACCTGAACTGTAAGAAATGTTAAGGAAAGTTCTTCAGGCACAAGGAATTGATACCAGACAAACTTGGAGGTACAAAAGAAGATTTAAAAGATTTCCAAAAATGGCTAAAATGAAGGTTTGAGATTTTCCATAATAAAAGGTTTTTTAATGTTTAAAAATAAGTGTGTGAATATATTCCTACAACAATATCCACAGTACAGGCTTTTTTTGCACACATATACAAGGTTAGTAATCTGGAAGGCAGAATTACAATTTCTAATACTACTACTGGAGAATTCAAGAACAATTCTAAGTCAGACCACAGCTGGCACATACCTCTTGTTTGTACATTTATATCCTTAAAGTTAGGGAGGAACAATGTGTAACACCTTCACATGCCTTCCTATATTTTGTACAGCATAGATATCTAATTTTTTAGCTTCCATGGTATCTCTTAGAGAAGTCATAGTACTACTATGTCTTAGACTCCACATTCACCATGAGCCCTAATAACTAAACCCAAGGCCTTCTGGTGAATTTGATATGCTATAGTAAGGGTGTATTTTTTTTAGTAAACAAATCTGTAAAATGTTTTAATCTAAATTTCCATGTTATTGCAAATAAAGATACAGTTGTTGAATAAATGTATTTGCAGATAATAGTAAAACACAGAGGTTTTGGTAAGTGATATGTTATAAACAATTAGGTCAAATTAGCCGTCACTGGAGGGATCAACAGTGATATGGCAGGCAGGGTGGGCCAACGCCAGGGGCCAATTAAGTAGAAAAGGTCTGGCAATTATGCATCAAGTGCACAGAATTAGGCCAGGCTGGCAGGATTAGGAAGGTATCAAAAGATCAGACAAGCATTATCAACGATCCAGATTACATACAAAAAGAGTTACTAGGTCTCAAATATTGAGGCAGGTAGGGTCCAAAACCCTGGAAGTCAGAAGACATCTGGGTAATATCTAAAGGCAAAGACTGAATATTCCTGCTCCCTTTTCATACTCTGTGCTTACTGCCTGTATGACTTTCTCCTAATTAAGGCAGAAGTACAAAGCTTCCCAAAAAATTCTTATAAGTAATACAATAAGAGTACTACCTAATGCTATCAATCTTTCCTTCATACACCAGGTTTTAAAATAATGGAAAATGTGCTATAAAAAGGTTAGAGTCAATTATATGAAGCTGCTTGATTTTCAGAAAATATTCTTTTTTTTCGAGACAGGATCTTGCTCACTCACCCAGGCTGGAGTGCAGTGGCACAATCATGGTTCACTGCAGCCTTGATCTCCCAGGCTCAAGTGATCTTCCTGCCTTAGCCTCCTGAGTAGCTGGGACTACAGGCACACACCACCATGCTCTGTTAATTTTTTTTTTAAATGGATTGGGTTTCACCATGTTGCCCAGGTTGGTCTCGAACTCCTGGATCAAGCCTTGGCTTCCCAAAGTGCTAGGATTATAGGCGTGAGCCACCAGACCCAGCTTCAGAAAATATTCTTAAGCATTTCTTTGATTCTTCAAATAAATACTGGGCACCACACAAAATACTTGAGATGCAACAAGTAAGACAGCCCCAGAGCTCTAGTTTAAGTGGGAAAGAGACAAACCAAGTACTACGATAGCATGAGATTTGCCAAGATAGAGACAGAAAAGGTACTGCAGGAATAGACATGGGGAACATTAAGGAAACGTTTGTGAGAACTGTTGAAATTACCTCATAAACTTTTGCAGCTTATATTCTGAGGCAAACATTAAAATGATCTTTCAGTGTCTAAAATAGAATGTGTTTTGTGCCCCAAAACATTCTAAAAATTCTTGGTTGTTATCATGGGGAAATATTGACTGCTAAATAAGAATTATTACACCCAGAAATGTTTAGTAGCAAACAGGACATTAAGTTGCTTTAAAAAAAGAAATCAGCCATTTCTCACTTCATTTCAAGATTTTTTTACACACTAAAGATTTTGTGGCTCCAGTTAGGAAGAGGCCTTTCAGCCTCAGAAATGAGGAAAAATATCTTCCTTTGTTTTCTGACACTTATTGTGTAGGGTTATATTTACTAAGCTACTGGAATAATATTTTCATGTAGATGTCACTGGTGAGATTCCTACTAACAATGAGTTAAGTACTATCTGGTCACATATATCTAGAGGTGCTGCAACTTGGAATTTCTGACAGGCTAAAGGACTACATGCTCCTTTGGCATTCCCCCAGACTAAGCCAGAGAACTGCATTCTCCGACATTCAAAGTAACAATAAATAGCAGCCTCGGAGGCTGGTCCCAGGGAAGAGAAGTGGTATATGGGCAGGGTTAAGCCTGCAAACAAGTAAGAGACCAACCATTATAGATTCCAATACCATTTGGGCTGCCATTTCACAATTACAGCACCACTCATACTCTTATATTTTTTTCTGATCAACTGGGAGGTATAAAAGTATTAACTACTAACAAAGTACTGAAGCTTAGAAATTTACGCACAATCAAGAGTATCCTTCTGACAAGGTTATCAACATATACTTGTGTTCTTACAGGTCACTAGTAAGGAGAGTTAAGCTGGCAGGCCAGGAATCCCATATAACCTGAAGCCTATACCTCATGACAAGCAAAGGAATGCTATTCTTCCTGTGTGCCTAGACCTTTGCAGCACAGATCCATCACTGCTACTTTTCCCAGATTCTGATGAAAAGCCACTATACCTGAGAAGGCCAAAGCAAGCTAAGATGTACTCTCATCAAGCACAGAGTCCAGAATGTGTCCTTGGGTTGAATTGGGTAATTTGTTGAGTAATCAACCCCTCCCCCAATTTTTTGTTTGAACATCACAGTCTTCACTTCCTGAGGTAGCCGACCATCTCCAAAACAATCCCACAGTTCCAGCAGCTCTGCTGTAGTTTTCACTGTCCTAACTACTCCCTGACACACCTCAAAAGCCACTATAATAGTCACTGAATGCATCCATCTCCAAGGTCACCGCTGCGTAGACATTTGTGCGATTCAAGTGTGTATGTGGCAAACATTGGTCTGTGAAGACTTTATTTTGCTCCTGCCAGTTTTACACAGAAACCTCCAGTATTAAAGACAAATAGTTGTACACTCAGAATCTTTAAAGCTCCCTCCAAGGACATACTGCTTCATTAAATTCCCCAATATGCTTTTATTTGCACAGAGTGGTAACAAAAAAATAAAAGAGCTGATGTATATCATTTTTGCCACAGTTTTCAATAGAGTGAGCAGACCTGATGAAGTTGAGTAGCAATAAACTATGGAGGCTCTAGCCTTCTGTTCCTAGCATCTGCAAATAAAATCTTGTAATAGGATTTTGAAAGACATTGCCTGTCCTTTGGGAAGGCTCTGTCAAGGATCTGGAGTGCATAACTACTTACGGTTACCATAAGTAATCTGTTTCATTTGCTAAGCCTGGTGATGGCAATTCATTATGGAAAGGTAAAACTAAAAGCATTATTTTAACAGACAGTTAAAGGTATTAAGATACACTGCGTGGAAAGATACAGGATTCTGTGCCCAACTGCTTTTCTTAGTTCATGAACTTTATGCTAAATCACAAACATTCATCCATTTAAGGAGAAAGGGGGAAATGGCAACTAGAGCTGCTTTGTAAGTTAGGTATTTATATAGTGATAGAAAGATCACAGAGAGATAAATTGCCAATGACTTCATTCTGCCTCCAATTCCCCTAAAAAATAATTGTGGGCCTGTTACAAAGATGTCTCTCTTGCATCAGACTTCTCAATGACTGTCTTTCTTGCATATGAACACGTGATAATTACTGGGCAGAGGCCAAGTTAATCCTGCTCTGCAACATAGCTAATAACATATTTTACCTCTATTATCAAAGAAACAATCAAAATTATACAGACAAGCCTTGCCTGCAATCCTCAAACAGTATCTCTAACCTGTCTTTCTCCTGAATCAGTGGTAAGCAACCTTTATAATTTAAAATTACTATTTAATTTTTTTAAATTATAGTTTTCATGGGCTTCATTTTTTTCCTATCACATCCTACAAGGGTCAGAATTTCTTCAGTACTTGATGATACCAAGGACAGACTGATAGACCAAAGCTCTACTTCGCACCTCCCATCTGCTACAGTATAGTCAGTTTCCAGACTGTTAATGGGTGTATTGACTTTTTTGGCTATCCTGTAACCATTTTTTAAAATTTCATGCATATGCAATATAAGATTCTTACTCCAATCTTGCTCTCTTTTCCATGATGGAACAGATAAAAATTGACTTACAGGCCAGGTGCGGTGGCTCACGCCTGTAATCCCAGCACTTTAGGAGGCCAAGGAGGGTGGATCACCTGAGGTCAGGAGTTCGAGACCAGCCTGGCCAACATGGTGAAACCCTGTCTCTACTAAAGATACAAACAAATTCGCCAGGCATGGTGGTGGGCACCTGTAATCCCAGATACTCAAGAGGCTGAGGCAGGAGAATCACTTGAACCTGGGAGGCAGAGGTGGCAGTGAGTTGATATTCCACCATTGCACTCCAGCCTGGGCAACAGAGCAAAATTCCATCTCAAAAAAACAAAAAAAAAAACAAAAAAAAACACTGAGAACTGACTTATAATGACTTATACAGAAGTAACATAAAGATTGCACTGATCATAATATAGCAAATAGGTGGGCAGAATTTGGTAAATTTATGTTCTAAATCAAAATTAGGTATTGTCTTTGTCAATTAAGATGTTTTTAGTTCACAGCAGTCACGCACTGAAACAAATATGTGTTCAGTTCTACGACAGTGGCATAAAACTCTTAAGTGAACCAAATCCCTACCAGAGGAACCCGTAAGGTGAACTAGGTTCCCTTCCTTTGTGTTTCTACAGCACACTATGTAAATACCATCACAGTAATTATCATTCCATATTATAATTATTTATGTTTTCCCAGTAGATGACCTTTTTGATGGTAAGTGTAATGTGTCTATTTTTTGTTTAACCCAGGGATTAACATTGTTTATAGAAAGCACTCAAATATTCTTCAAATGAAAACCTATTCCATGCAAAACAATGTGTACAGAAGCTTCCCCTAAATGGTTGCATATATAATGTTCAGTCTTCCCACTTTATCGTCTACTTGGGGACAGGGACTTGACTTTGTTAACTCCTATGTCCCCAATAGTTACCGCAGTTAGCACATAAATAGGCTCTCAGCACATTTATTTAGTGAATAAATAAACCAGGCTAGGTCTCTTACCACTGGAGTGGCATGATGTTAGAACAGACGGCCTTACCGCTTCCCCTACATGAGATTTTTTACCCAAAAAGTATCTATTGCATCATAAGCAGATTCCTTTTCCCGCAGATATTATATGGCTGGCATTTCCCAAAGATGTTTGTTAATGGATTATATGAGAAAAATTAATCCCATTTTAAATAAGTTTTGGAAATGCGGGTTAACGAAGTCCAGTCTTTCAAGAAGGATTTCTTTGAGCCTTTATTGTAAGATTCTCCAAAACATATTTGGTCATACACCCATTGGGGTAAGTGGTTGCAGACAATGCTGACCTCTCTCATTATATTTCTAGAAATCAGAGAATAAGAATTCATAGTTAGGATACTACTCTCACTGAAAAACTTTCAGAACGCTGATAACATTGGTTAAGAAACTGAAAGCAATGTAAATTGGTTAACCACTTTTAGAAAGTAATTTGGCAATACATTTCAGAAGCCCAAGGAAATAATCCGAAATATTAAAATAGGACCAGGCATGGTGGCTCATGCCTGTAGTCCTAGCACTTTGAGAGGCTGAGGCTAGAGGATCGCTTAATCCCAGGGGTTTAGTACCAGCCTGGGCAACATAGTGAGACCTCGTCTCTATAAATAATTAAAAAATTAGCCAGGTGTGGTGGCACACACCTGTGGTCCTAGCTACTTGGGAGGCTGAGGTGGTAGAATCGTTTGAGCCCTGGCAATGGAGGCTGCAGTGGGCCGTAATCATGCCACCGCACCCCGGCCAGGGCGACAGAGCGAGACCCTGTCTCAAAACAAAAAACAAACAAACAAAAAAAACATTAAAATAGCTCCACATGTTCAATACAATGCTATTATGAGAAAAAAAATTACAAATTAACTATCCAATAATAGAAAATAAATCTACAACTGGGATATTAAAGTCATAAAAATAACTATGAAGACTGTATAGTAACATATAAAAATGATTATAATAAACAGTTGTGTTAGAAACATGGTTTGAAATTGCATCTATGCTCTGATTATACAAATATGCAAAGGAGAATATGCAAATATGTAAGCATTAGAAAGGGATGATGCAATTTTTAAGTAATTTGATTTATAATGCATTTTTCCCATTCTGATTTCCATTAATGCTATTTAATTATGAAAGAAATAACATACATTATATATAATATATGCTCCCATTTATCCAGATTATGCTTTTTCTACTTCCTCATTATATCACCTATATATCAAAACCACCAGAAAATGTTTAAGTCATTTAACCTAACACTTATTGATGGGAGATTAGAACACTTCAAATTTCCTTAGAAAGCTGTATGCTGAGAATGACCCAGGTAGGAGCAAGATTTCTCCTGAAGAATGCAGGAAAACTGGCAATTTAGAGAGGTAAACAGGTATGGAGAGGGAAAGGAACACAAACCTGGGCTTGAATTCTAGCTAGTCTTCTAAACAGTAGATGATCAGCTGAACTGACCTCCCCACCTGCAAGGTAAGGACAACTACTCTATAGCATGCATTGTTTTCAGGATAAATGATTTTAAGTTCCTAGGACTAAGCCCTAAATCATTGTTATGTCCTTTCCTAGTGGGATACAGGAAAATCTTCCCTATGAAGCATTAAAAAAAGTGAGTTCCCACAAATATTCATCTCAAACATCTTTAAGTTGTTCCCATACTGTACATATTATAAAATGTGTGTTTGAAAACTGAAAAACTAGTTGTAAGGGAAATACAACCAGAAGCAACGAATGAGTACACAGTTTTATAGACAATTGTGTAAGAAACAAATTAATAGTAACTTTCAAATGACAATACAATGAGAAAAACTGAAATGCCTTTTTTATAGCTTAAATTTTCCACCTAGCTTTACTGAGGTATAATTGAGTAGTAAAAAGTATATATATCTAAGGTGTACAACATGATGTTTTGATAAACATACAGACTGTGAGGTCTTAAAGTTTTAAAGGAAGTTGAAGGAAACTTCAATTCTGAAACCTGTAATCAACCAAACTTAAAAATCCATTCATTCAATAAATAACTTATCATATAAAAGGAAGGGTGCTTGGAGCTTAAGAGATTCAGCTACTTTACTTTCACCTTTCTGCTGTTCTCTTGCTAATTTACCTTCCTTGTCTCTGGGTTCTACCCTTTCTGTCCTCCCTTTCATATTTTATTTTATTTATTTTTTAAAGAGAGAATCCTGTTTTGTCACCCAGGCTGCAACGCAGTGACAGGATCATAGCTCACTGCAGCCTCAAACTTCTGGGCTCAAGTAATCCTCCCACCTTAGCCTCCTGAGTAGTTAGGACTACAGGCATGCACTGCTATACCTGGCTGATATTGTTATTTTTTGTAGAGATGGGGTCTCGTTTATGTTGCCCAGGCTGGTCTCAAACTCCTGGCCTTAAGTGATCCTCCTGCCCTGGCCTCTCAAAGTGCTGGGATTACAGGCATGGGCCACTGTGCCTGGTTGTCCTCCCTTTTATAACACAACCCATTTGAGTTCGTAATTGAGGGTTGGCGAAATTATAGGAAAAGCTGCACGTATTAAGGTAGAAAAAGATTATAGATCAATCAAAATTAAGACTATTACCAAAATGATGTTTTATACAAGTACTTAAAGTGACTGTGTAACACTAAATCATAATACCATACAAAGAGACAGATTTTAGCTAATATTATTGAGCATATTCCATGTGCCATTTTGCCTGTATTAACTCATTTATTCTTCAGAACAAGTGTTATGAAGTTGATGTTGTTATTATTCCCATTTTACTGATGAGGAAACTGAGACAAAGGGGGTTAAGTAATATGCCCAACTCAAATGGTCAGTACGTACTACAGCAGGAATGTGAACCAGACAGTTGGGCCAGGACCCATGACACTTTGCTGCGCTCTGTTTACTGTGGTTAGCATATCCTGTGTAGACACTGTGGAATGAACTATGTGGAAAAAAGGAGGGAAAAGAGGAAAATGAGAGGCGTAAGAATTGCAGTAAAAATACCGCAGTACATTCTACAGCTTAATTTATCTAAAATAAAAAATTTTTTTTGAGACAGGGTCTCACTCTGTCGCCCAGGCTGGAGTGCAGTGGCGCAATCTCGGCTCACCGCAACCTCCACCTCCCAGGTTCAAGTGATTCTCCCATCTCAGCCTCCCAAGTAGCTGGGACCACGGGCACATGCCACCATGTCTGTGTAATTTTTGTATTTTTAATAGAGACGGGGTTTCATCATGTTGGCCAGATGGGTGTCAGGCCTCTGAGCCCAAGCTAAGCCATCATATCCCCTGTGACCTGCACGTATACATCCAGATCACCTGAAGCAACTGAAGATCCACAAAAGAAGTGACAATAGCCTTAACTGATGACATTCCACCACTGTAATTTGTTTCTGCCCCACCCTAACTGATCAATGTACTCTGTAATCTTCCCCACCCTTAAAAAGGTTCTTTGTAATTCTCCCCACCCTTGAGAATGTACTTTGTGAGATCCACCCACTGCCCGCAAAACGTTGCTCCTAATTCCACCACCTATCCCAAAACCTATAAGAACTAATGATAATCTACCACCCTTTGCTGACTCTTTTCGGACTCAGCCCGCCTGCACCCAGGTGAAATAAACAGCCTTGTTGCTCACACAAAGCCTGTTTGGTGGTCTCTTCACATGGACGCGTGAGACAGTGGGTAAATTATTTTTTTTTACATGGTTAACTTTTTCTTACAGGAAAATTATAGGTCATAACCAAGAATAGCATGTTATTAACATATTTTGTCTTTTGATTTCAAAGGTAATTTCCAAATGTCCAAATATTACTCTTGATATTTGAAGAAAACACCTGCAGTGATATTTAACAGGCAGAAACAAACTGTTGTTTCCTCCTAGCCATCTGTAACTTCCACCTAAATTCTGTAAAACACTTGATTGTATTTCAAAAACAATAATACTTAAAGTGCTACTTTGCTATTAAAAAAATCACATACAATGCCCATCAACTGATGAGTGATTAAACACAATATGGTACATCCATGCCATAGAATATAATTTTGCAATAAAAAGGAATGAAGTAATGATACACACATGCTACAACATGAATGAACCTTGAAAACATTCTAAGTGAAAGAAACCAGGCACAAAGCCCATATATTATATAATTCAATGTATATGAAATACCCAGAATAGGCAAATCTATAGAGACAGAAAGTGGGAGTTGAGAGGAAATGGGGAATGACTGCTAATGGGTATGGGGTTTCTTTTGAGGTGATAAAAATGTTCTAAAACTGATTGTGGCGGTGGCTATTCAACTCTATGAACATACTAAAAATCATTTTGTATGGTATATGAATTATATCTCAATAAATTTGTTATATGTATAAAAGAAATCACATTAAAACACTTCAAAGGGTCCACATTGGCCACTTCACCTGCAGAGTTCTGCTGACTTCATGACAGACTCCATATGAACACTTTTCATATAGCTACCGCATCAGATATACGAGATGAAAGTGGAAGGTCTTTAAGGTAAAGACTTGGGTAATAATGAAATTTGATGAACAAAATCATGTTTCTGAGAAATCAGAAGTTACTAGAATTACTAGATAAGGTGCTGACTTTCAATCCCTCTGTAGGCAACACAAGGGAAGAGGGTAAATAATGTTGCAGACAACTAAAATATAACATAAAATAGATCTGAATTAGAAAAATCATCTTATAGAGATCAAAGGACTCACGTGACAAGGCAAAACCAGACTGCAGTATAAACACAGCTACAGAAAGATTGTACTTGTCAGGACCGGGTGCAGTGGCTCATGCCTATAATCCCAGCACTTTGGGAGGCTGATGTGGGAGGATTGCTTGAGCTCAGAGTTCAAGACCAGCCTGGGCAACAAAGTGAGACCCTATCTCTTAAAAAAAAAAAAAAAAAAAGACTGTATTTGTCAGAAAATAGGAAATGGATAGGGCAGGTAGACACATACTACTATTTACTTAGCACCTATTAGGTGCCAGGATTTGTACCTGGGTAGTTATAGTGAAAAATAAAAGTGTGACAGATAAACCTTGATACTGTCCTTCCAAACTGTGTTGGGGAAAGGGTCCTAGAAGAGTGAACTCTGGCACCTAGCTTCTCATGCAGACGTGCTTTTACTGCTGAATAGACAATTCAGGCTACTGAACTGAGGCTGCACCATGGGTCATCCAGCCTACTCCCCTTCCCTTCATCTGATTCCATGTCATCAGGCAACCTTCTGACTGTGCTCTTGCCTTCCACAGGTTGACAAGTGGAGTGCAAAACATAACTAGAGAACTACAGAAAAATAAAGCAATAGAGCAATGGAGCTTATTGCAATTACAGACACTTGGGAAGAATATATACAGACTAAGCTGCTAACATTTGTTATCTCATAAGGTGGAATGAGAAAGGACTCGCACATATTGGGATTGGATTTTTAAAAAATAACCATACTACTTTTCTATTAAGAATAAATGTAATAGTTCTTAAATAATAATAATTTGGCTTTACTTTCACACTTACCAAACTGACAAAAAATTTCTGGTCTGCCTGTCAGTTGATTCTTGAATAAATTAGCCTGCTGGGTTGATAGGTGTGTCTTATGATGTAGTTTTACATGAATTCTACGTTAAGAGAAGAGTACACTTTAAATCTAGCAAAATAAAGTTCTAAGTCTCCAAAGCCCCAGAGCTTTGTGGATTCTAAGGTCAATGACACTTAGCAGAGCGCCTCTTCACAGCTATCAGCTGGCCTTCCTTGGTAAAACCTAAACCACACCAAGTACTTCCCATTCAAATTCTACAAGCAGAAAATATTAAAGAACTACAATTTAGACCGTTTCCAGAGAACTTCTCCTAGCATTTCAGTATAATTTACAAATAAGCAGCTCTTAGATCTGCAGGCTTGCCTTACTATCTTTGGATAAAACAAGGTTGTTTCTCCACAATCAACCAACCTTCAGCACCCGCTCCATGCCCGGAAATAGATCAGAACCATGGAGGAAGTCCTAGGAGCATGAGAGTGCTGAGTTTAACCTGGCCTTACAATTTGGGTCCAAAGTCCAACTAAACTCCCATCTGTGGCCCAAGGTTTAAAATTAAAGGTTGAAGTATCCTGCAGCACGGGCCACTGAATGTGCACTGACATTTCAGCATCAGATAACCAGCTGACCTTCAGCTACCCCTAAGTATGACCAATGGGTTATCTCCAAGTGACTGCTGTATATGAAGATGATATATCGTCACAAAACCCCCAAATCCTCCTTCTTGGCAAATTCCAACTATTAAAAAATCAAGACGTGCCAGGCGCAGTGGCTCACGCCTGTAATCCCAGCACTTTGGGAGGCCAAGGGGGGTGGATCACGAGGTCAGAGTTCAAGACCAGCCTGGCCAACATGGTGAAACCCCGTCTCTACTAAAAATACAAAAATTAGCCGGGCATGGTGGCGCACGCCTGTAATCCTAGCTACTCAGGAGGCTGAGGCAGGAGAATTGGTTGAACCCAGGAGGCGGTGGTTGCAGTGAGCCGAGATTGCACCACTGCACTCCAGCCTGGCTGACAGAGCAAGACTCCATCTCAAAAAAAGAAAAAAAAAATCAAGACCCAATCTATTATTAAGAAGCAAGTAGAGAAGGAAATAACACAGAGGACTCAAACATCAAATTGACAGTCTGATCAGAAGACTATTGCAGTCCTTTCCAACTTTGACATTCAATGATTCCATGATCAGCAAACATTCACAAGAAAACATATGGGCACACCAGAAGCTGAGTTAAGGAAAGCCAGCTAAAGATCAAAAGTGATTAGATTAGACACACTCAAATAAGTGAGGGGGAACAGTGAACCATCAAATTAATAGCTCTACAAATGAGAGATACTAAATTTGTTCTTAAAAAAAAAAAAAGCAACCAAGAAAAATGAATGCTAATAAGCCTAACTTGAATAAGTAAATGCTCTAAAAACACATGTATCTATAAACCTCCACACCCAATGAGTCATTAAGACATCCCACTTGTAAAGCCAGGTCCCAAGCTCAGACAGACCTGCACTGGTTTGTATACAATTACGGCAATTTATCTTGCCCACCAGCCAGTCTTCTATGTGTCTGTTACAGCTACTTTTCTCACAGTGTAAAATTAATCTGTGTTAATCCCACAAAAGTAACTATTTTCTTCTCTCCTCAGTCTCTGTACCCCATCCCACTCCATGTCAATTGGTTCTTTCTGTACTGCCCTAAGTAATGATTCTCAGTCACAGGCTTCAAATAACTATACAACTTAAACAATATGGCTCCCAAATTCACAAAGTCTTCATTTCTCTGAAAGCCAGTTAAATCCTGCTTCTTTCCACAAAGTCCACCCAAGAATAAGCTGATCTTCTATTAGAACTACAGATGCAATCACAAAGGAACAACCCATTTTAAGATGGCACATGTAAGCCTGGGTTACGAAATGACCAGCTAGTAGTCATCCACTGTAGAATAAAAAGTGCAAGCCCCTGATGGAAGCCCTATGTCAACAAACATGGCAAAGGACCCCAAGCCTCTATACCTTCAAACCTCCCTTCCAGACGATATCATGTCTGCCTGGCCCGTATCAGACACATCCTTTACAACAAGATATCACCTTAGTCGTCACTCCTAGACACAACCCTTCATGCATTCATATACTACCACTGCCTCCATGACTCATCTTTCTGGTGACCACATTTATGAAAACTATTATAGGCAATAATTAAATAATATCAAAAAGATAGTAAAAAAACAAAGAGAAAGACTATAAGCACCTTATCAAGGAAGAGAGTAAAACACATGTGCCACTGCCAAGAATATCATAGGTTTCGGAAAGAAAAGAAGGCACCAGAGGAACATCTCTGTTCTGGTCCAGAGCATTTGCCTAGCAACACCCCTCTCCTTAATCTTCAGTCATTGTATGACTTTGTTCCCAAAGAGGCTGCTCCCAGGGTACGCCCCAGCCACCCTACAGGGATTTCTCTACTGAGAGCATCTACAGGTCCAGCTCCCTCAAGGTGCTCTCCATGACAACAGTGAATTTTTTGCTCTGTTATGTCTATCTTATGCTTCCTGGGGAAGGCAACTACAAAAAGGAATGTGCTCTGGCCTGGGAGTCACAGGTTCACCTCGGTGGGCTGGGTGATCTTAAGAGGGTTTCTCAGCATGTCCTGCCATGTCTGTGCCATTTGTGTGCTGCAGTGATCTCACATTGACTCACACCAGCTCATGAGAGACAACCTTGAACATTTCTTCCTAACTTCTGCTCATGGACTTTACATCGGTAGCTTAAAATTAGTCATAGTGGGAGTATATACACCATGGAAATCAGCAAATGTAGCAAATCTGGATTTTTTTTCTTCACTTGGAGAGCTGGTTGTTAAACACCAATACAACACTACTTGTGCCTCAGTTTGTTACCCAATTTGTTTTTCTTTTTGTGGAAACAAATTTTTGTACAGCCAAATCAACTTGACTTTAGACCTTGTCTCAACACTTTAAAGCTCTTCAGCTATTTAATACTGTTTTCTTCTATTAATACCTGTTTATGGTTTCATGGAATTTATTTTGACGTATAGTGTGAGTAATACTGTTAATTCAGAACAGCTAATTTAACAAATAATAAATTCTTATTTATACTATGGTCTATGTGTAGACTATTACCTTCCATTAACTTTTGGTCAACAACAAAATAGCAACTAACATCTTTTTGAGTACTTCCCAAGCACCAGCAATTTGCTCAACTCTTTATCTCATTTAATCCTACACTTTACAGGTGAGTAAAGTTATCCTTGAAGACATTAGGTACCTGGGCCATAGTCATGTGGCTGATAAATCAGAGCTAGACCTGGAATCCTATACTCTACCTCCAATACCTCAACTCATGACCATTATTGCTAAACTGCAACACAGTGTTGACCACTATTTTTTAATTTTGATATTAGTCCTCCCTTTATGCTTCTTGCTTAGAATCATTTTGTAAATCATTTTGTCAATTTTACTCAAATCACGTTAAATTTAATTGGAACAGTGACATCTCAATATTCTAGTTTTTGTATTCAGAAACAATGTATGTCCCTCTAGTTCATTTATTTATTTTAAAAACCTCAAGAAAAGTTTTATAGTTTTCTTCATTTCAACTGGACATATTTGTTAGGGTTATTTCTAATTTTATATTTGCTGACGCTTTGATAAATGGGATTTTTTTATGCTACATGTTTCTAACTGGTTATTGCTAACACTTGAGAAAGATACTGATTTTTGTATACTTACCAAATACAGCACTTGTAATTTTTAGTTGATTTTCTTTTTTTTGTATTTTATCTCCTCTCAGATCATTATACTTACTTTGGTATGGTGGATTATTGCACGAGTTAGAACTTCTAGAACAATGTTAATGGTGATAGAAGGTTTATATATTCCTGATGTAAACTGAAGATGCCCTACTGTATCACTGTCGAGTACAAGACTGACTTGTTGGTTTAAGACAGTGGATCTTATTAAAGATACAGTTTTCTCGGCCAGGCGCAGTGGCTCACGCCTGTAATCCCAGCACTTTGGGAGGCCGAGGCGGGCGGCTCACGAGGTCAAGAGATTGAGACCATCCTGGCCAACATGGTGAAACCCCGTCTCTACTAAAAATACAAAAATGAGCTGGGCATGGTGGTGTGCAGCTGTAGTCCCAGCTACTCGGGAGGCTGAGGCAGGAGAATCAGCTGAACCCGGGAGGCGGAGGTTGCAGTGAGCCGAAATTGTGCCATTGCACCCCAGCCTGGGCAACAGAGTCAGACTCCGTCTCAAAAAAAAAAAAAAAAAAGTTTTCTTTTCCTAGTTTTAAAATGGCTTAAAAAAAATAGATGTTGAGCTTTTTCAAATGTTTTTTGAGCATATTATTAAAATAACTTAAAGTTGTTCTTACTGAATACCTTTTTTTTTTTTTTTGAGTCTTGCTTTGTCGCCCAGGCTGGAGTGCAGTGGTGCGATCTCAGCTCACTGCAAGCTCCGCCTCCCGGGGAATACCTATTTTAAACTGAAAAATCCTAGACTATCAATAAGGAGGTAGATCTGAGTTTGGTTCCCGGGTTGAAGGGCAAATCTAAGGAGTCCTAGGTCAGCAGCACAGTTTGTTCTGCTGCAGTTTCTTTGACAAGCATTACCTCATATCTGACTGGCAACAGATGAATGCTGTTGGCATAATGGTGAAGTCACATTGGCTCACATGCAATTTTTCTCAGCATAATAATGTTTTCAAGCATAGACAAGTTTTCTCATGATTAAAGAGAAAGCCTTGGCAATATAAGATGACCTTAAAGGCGGAAAAAAAAGCTGAAAGTCTACAGAAGTGACTTACTTTAGCATATGTGGTAGCTGATTCAGTGGCTTCAAAAACCACTATACTTTCCTTCTAAGTTATCTGGCAAAGCTGCAAATGCAGATGAGAAAGCTGCAAATACAGCCAGGCATGGTGGCTCATGCCTGTAATCCCAGGACTTTGGGAGGCCGAAGCGGGTACATCATTTGAGGTCAGGAGTTCGAGACCAGCCTGGCCAACATAGTGAAACCCAGTCTCTACTAAAAATTCAAAAAGGCCAGGCGCGGTGGCTCACGCCTGTAATCCCAGCACTTCGGGAGGCCGAGGCGGGTGGATCACGAGGTCAAGAGATCGAGACCCTCCTGGTCAACATGATGAAACCCCATCTCTACTAAAAATACAAAAAATTAACCGGGCGTGGTGGCGGGCGCCCGTAGTCCCAGCTACTCGGGAGGCTGAGGCAGGAGAATGGTGTGAACCCGGGAGGCGGAGTTTGCAGTGAGCCAAGACCGCACCACTGCACTCCAGTCTGGGTGACAGAGCGAGACTACATCTCATAAATAAATAAATAAATAAATAGAAAAAGAAAAAAAAATTAGCCAGGCGGTAGTGGCACACCTGTAATCCCACCTACTCAGGAGGCTGAGGCAGGAGAATCGCTTGAGCCTGGGAGGCAGAGGTTGCAGTGAGTGGAGACAGCGCCACTGCACTCCAGTCTGGGTGACAGAGTGAGACCCTGTCTTAAAAAAAAAAAAAGAAGGCTGCAAATACATTCCTCCCTGTATTGAAACAATGGATTAAGAAGGCTATATGCTGGATCAGCTTTTCAATTTTTATCCAAATGGTCTCTATTGGAAGCAAAATACCCTCTAACACCTATTTCCCAAAGAAGAAAGCATGAGCCCCAGGGTTTACAGCTACACAGAATTTTCTGACTGTGATACTGGAAACAAGTACCAGTTAGAGTTGACTGTGCTGGCTCTTGTTTTATTTTGTTTTTTAGTACTCTTGTGTCAACAACAGAACTGCCACTAACATTTTTTGAGTACTTCCCATGCACTACTTGGTTACATGGGAAGGACCAAGCCCTATTAGGCTACTTGGTTTACAAAGTTCCTCAGTTTTAGTTGGTCCGTCCCAACTCCCATCAGCCCTATTGTTTTCAGTGCCTGATTTTGCAAACATGGGTTGTTTATTGTATTTTTCAATTATTGTTGAGGCTTCCATTTTATTCTGTTTTTGTTTGCTTGTTTTTTCCAGGTTCACCTATATGGTGTGGCAGCAGAAACATTTGGCTCCCCATAGAACCACTGGATCTTGTGCTACCTGCTTACCAGAGTGTGGCCTGCTTGAGATTTGAGATTTTCTTTGAAACCCAGTTAGCTAACAGGCACGAGTACCTGCCATCAGGGAATCTAAGACACTTGATTTAGACACTGAAAAGTTTAAATCATTATCATGAATGGAGTAACTGCAGTAAAGAGAGGGTTGTGCAAATTTCTGAAGTGTATTCAAGAGATGAGGCTGACCACACTCACGTTCCATTGTCTCATCCACAACACACATCTATTACCAACTCCTGATATTCTACACAACCTGCTCCACCAACAGCCTTCCCTACTTCAGTAAACAGTAATTCCACCTTCAGGTGTTCAGACTGAAAACCTTATTGCCACTTTCTCACAGCATCTATCCAGTTCATCAGAAAATGCTGATGGCTCTGTCTTCCAAATATGGCCAGAATCTGACCACGTCCTATCAGTTCTCCACTGCTACCACTCTCGTTCAAGTCACCATTATCTGTCACCTCTATTACTGCAATAGCCTTCTATCTGCTTCCACCCGTGTCCCCTCAACACTAGTTTCAATAACGTGATTGGAAAGCCAGATCTTATTACTCCTCTGCTCGAAACCCCATAATATCTTCCTGTCACATGCAGAACAAAAGTCAAGTTTTTATAATGGCTTGGAACAACACCCTAGATGCTTGGGCACAAAATAGCCTGGACCTGCTGTTCCCTTCCTTCCACTTCTCAGACCACTCTGGTTTTCTTGATGCTACTGAGCTCTCAGGATTGCCTCCTGACTTTTGCACTTGCTATTCCTTCTGCCTGGAATGTTCCTTTCTTAAATATCAAGTTTGTTTGCCCCCTCATCCCAGTGAGGCTTTTCGTGACAACCCTATTGTAAACTGCAGGCACATACACACACACACACACACACACACACACACACACACACACACACACACACACACGGCTCCCCATCCCCGTTTCCTAACTTAATTTTCTCCAAAACAGTACATATCTTCATCTGCTATACTGTATATTTTACCTGTGTCTCTGTTTAGTCCCCTTAAAAAATAAGTAAGCTTGGTGTTCTTTGCTGTATCCCCAGTACATAGAATAGTTCCTAGGGCATAGAAATCTCAAAAACTACTTACTGAATGAATGAATCAGGTTCACTGCATGACATGATGAAAGCAGTGACAGATTGAGATTGTGACTCTTCAGTCACCTTAATCTTCACAAATCCAAGAAATATTTGAAGAGGTATAAAGAAGTTGACTTTATTTTAATGCAGTCATATGGCTAGGCTGTGAAAACCTGTTCAAGAGATTTATTAAGCTGCTTCCTCAGATCAAGGACACTTGGAATTAAAGGGCTTGGAGTGGCTCAACTTGTCAGACGCCCTGGTGACTCTAAGATTGTTCTTCCAGGCAGGCACGGAGGCTCACACCTGTAATCCCAGCACTTTGGGAGACCGAGGTGGGCGGATCACCTGAGGCCAGGAGTTTGACACCAACCTGGTCCAACATGGTGAAACCCCGTCTCTACTAAAAATATAAAAATAAGCCGGGCATGGTGGCAGGCACCTGTAATCCCCGCTACTAGGGAGGCTGAGGCAAGTGAATTGCTTGAACCCAGGAGGCGGAGATTGCAGTGAGCTGAGATCGCGCCACTGCACTCCAGCCTGAGCGACAGAGCGGCACTCCGTCTCAAAAAAAAAAAAAAAAAATTGTTCTTCCATGATGTGACAAGACATCTGAACACACCAAAACTGAAACTACAGGGGGCAAAAAGCAGTAGCACTGCTGATATGATCAAGGAAACACAAGTGCTCTGATTCAAACCAGACATGTAGATCAAATAATAGGAGACTGCATTCATTTTTCATAAGCTGACCAATCCTCAAACTCAACAGAATCACTAAATTTAAAACTTTGAGAATATTTCCTAGAACTCAATTTCAAAAGAAGGTTACAAATTTTATAAGGAATCACACTTTCATTGTCTGTGTTTACCTCCAAGGTGGATCCCTCAGGGACAGGCCTGAATTACCAAGCATTTATCCCATTGCATGGCTCACATTTTCATGAACAAAATTCAAGAGCTGAAAGCAAAATATGACCAACAAAAACTCAATATTCATGACATTCTGAAGATGAATTTACTAAGCTTAGAGCTATGCCAAAACTTCTGAAATGCACTCAACTTTGGAACTTGTTTACAATCCCTGATGCTGTAAAACACATTATTTTCCATGAAAGAGCTAAAATCAAAGCTGAAGCTACCATCTGTGATGTAAATCTAGCATTACAACAAATTGAGATAGGCCTCCCTAATACATGCTACGGTTGTATAGTTGTTTCTTAAACACTACTCTCCTGTCAAGACTAGCTCCAAGCCTTTAACTTTGTACTTCTGAAGAAAAAAATTTATTATTTTTCAAACTGACTTCAAATTAAATTTGAAATCATAATACTATTGAACTGTTTTATATCATTATTGTTAAGAATTTAAACTTCACATGGGTCCACATGTGTGGATTTCAAATTATATAATTGCTCTAAAAGTACAGGTGCTTACTTTTCAATAGGATCAAGGTTATGAAAGATAGAAACACCTGAGAAACTCACAGATTGGAATGGATGAGATAACTAAGAGTTCCTGGCTCTACTAAAAAGAAGCTACTACATGACACAGGCAAATCACTTAACCCTATCTATGTGTGCCTTATTTTCCTCACCTGTAACAGTTGTGAGGTTAACCACGGTATATGTAAAATACATACCACTACATATAGCAAATAAGTAAACAATGGATACATAGTTGTGTTACTGTTATTTACTCTACCCATACTGTTCAACAATATGTTATTAAATTCTGGGCAGAAGAACTTGTTTCATGATCAGAATGATAGGTCCTCATCCTATGCTTTAAAAGATTCAATATTTCTATAGGTAGGTGACATGAAACACTTAGTTAACAATAGCCAAGGTAATTTATGCTGTGTTCAGAGAAGGAGGTGGTCAGTGTGGACTGAAGAGGAAGGCTTCTTGAAAGGAGGGAATATGAACTGGCTCATCAGGATAGGATTCAGATAGGAGGAAGAAAAATTCCAAACAAGAACATCATAAGTAAAAGCAGTGAGGCAGGAGTGAAGACGCTCATTCAAAAAGGCCAATACACCTCCACGAGTACAATTCTTGTTCAGTGACAAAGGCCAGATGAGTAAACTGAGGGCACAGTCCAGGGGTAACTTTGAATCTAATGCTGATAGAAAAGATATATTGCAAAATAGAATCAAAGCGGAAAAGGAGTAGCTTCATATTGCTTAAGGGGAACATCTGGTAAAATGCGAATTAGTGGTTTATCTAGTGAATGAATGAAGAGTTTGCTATAATGAGCATAAGCAAAACCTCACAGATGGATATATCCTTTACTGGTTTTTTTATTGGCTTTATTCACTACTTTTCCCTCTAACATCAGTGTCAGTATTACTACCCTACCCTGTCTTTAAGTACCATGAAACATATTTATATGCATAAAGAAATAATAACCTACAGAACTATCACATTCATTAACATGTGACTGTGTGGGTGTGTAAAAGCAGAAGACAACAGGGTGGAAGATTCCTTGCAACTTAGAAATGCTGTTTGATCTCTAAAGAGCATCACAGCCAGGGAAAGTAGATTATTATTAATCCTACTAAGAGAAAAAAAACTCAGACACATATTGTTGAGGAAAAAAGCAAAAACAGTGATTTTAGAGCAATACAAAACTGCTTAATGAAGTATGATACGGCTATGTACAATGGTATGAACTGTCACTGCTCTGTGACTGCAGGTAAAAAAAAAAACTCAGACAATATACTCAGAACATAACATTTGCTAGTAATGGACTCACATCTTCAAGATTCCTACTGCTTGAATGAAATTCACTCAGTTGCAATTTTACACAAATCATCCACCATGAAATGATATAAGAGCCCAGCATCCTGAGTTTACATGTGAATTTTTCAAATCAATCCTGTTCAATAAGAACTAGAAAAAAGCAAAAAAGGAAAAATACAGCTTGTAAGCATTAATAAAAGCCAAATGTAATCCATTCATCTCCACAGTCTACATGAACCATGTTGACAATAAGGAATAACATCCACCCCCTTCTAATTCACCAATAACTCTATGTTTTAGAAATAGATTTTGGTCACTCATACTCTAATCAAACTTACTGTAATAAAAATTATCGGGCTGGGCGCAGTGGCCCATGCCTGTAATCCTAGCACTTTGGGAGGCCGAAGCAGGTGGATCACCCGAGGTCGGGAGTTCGAGATGAGCCTGGCCAACATGACAAAACCCTGTCTCTACTAAAAACACAAAAATTAGCCAGGTGTACTGGTGGGCACCTGTAATCCCAGCTACTAGGGAGGCTGAGGCAGGAGAATTGCTTGAACCTGGGAGGCGGAGGTTGCAGTGAGCCAAGATCGCGCCACTACATTCCAGCCTGGGTGACAGAGCAAGACTTCATCTCAAGGAAGAAAAAAAAAATTATATATACATACATATATATATATATATGAAAGAAAATTAAACGTACTGAAATTATTTTAACATTATACTTACTGTGGCATAAAATAATATTTACTTTTCTTTTTATTACCTACTTTCATGCATGTGTCACAAGAAAGGCCAGAGGCTTTGAATTTGCTTATATCCCTTAGCAGATGAGGAGACCTACTTTCAGCATTTGTGCTAGACAATGCTACACAAATTGAATTTTTTCAACTGACCAGTAGGCCATTCATCAACCTTAAGTGGAATTTGGGATACCTAAAAAATAGAGGAAAGAAAATAATATAAGACCTGTGTTCTAATTCCAACTCATTTGCTTACTAGCTAAATAATCTTAGACCTTTAACCTTTATGAATCAGCTTTTTCACCTGTAAAGAGAATAGTGATACCTAATACATACGGCTTTTTTTTTTTTCTCTCAGCCTTTCTCAAAGGTATATAAGTTTGTTCTTGATGGTGGTTCCAGATTTTCTGCATTGAGGGACACACGCAGTTCTCTGATTGGAAGGAGGTACAAGAACATGCCTCTGCATAGCACTGCATTGAAGATTATGAAAAGATTAACTGTCCTATCAAAGAATGGGGACTTGATGGAGATACTGAGGAGTTAAATATCTCCCAAGCCCCTCTCCTTGATCCCAAGACTGCCTGTTGTGGTGATTACATATTACAAAAAGGAAAAGTGAGGTAGGAGATATAAAGAAGACAAAAAAATGAATATCTACAGTACAGACTCATATAAGGTGTACAATTAAAAAAGTTATGTATTTTCTCCTTTTGATTAATTCAGTAGAAAGAGTCCAGGCTTCTAGATTTTCTTGGGAAAATTAAACCATTTTATCAGAATTCAATTCAACTCAACTTTGAACTCTTATTATGTGCAAGCTACTCTATTAGATACTGTTGAAGATGAGGAAAAAATAAAAACAGACTCTTGCTTTCAACTAGTATGTAAAACATAACAAAATAATTTCTACACCAGAGAAACAAAAATATTATGAGACCAAAGTACAGACTTCCATAACCCTAGAACTAGCATTTAAGATCACAATCAGGCCAGGCGCAGTGGCTCACGCCTGTAATCCCAGCACTTTGGGAGGTCGAGGCAGGAGGATCACCTGAGGTCAGGAGTTTGAGACCAGCCTGGCCAACATAGCGAAACCCCGTCTCTACTAAAACTACAAAAATTAGCCAGGCGTGATGGCAGGTGTCTATAATCCCAGCTACCTGGGAGGCTGAGGCAGGAGAATCACTTGAACCTGGGAGGTGGAGGTTGCCGTGTGCTGAGATTGCACCACTGCACTCCAGCCTGGGTGACAGAGTGAGACTCTGTCTGAAAGAAAAAAAAGAAAAAGATCACAATCTACCTTTCTGGCCAGACTTCACACTAGAGATAAACACACACTCCAGCCATCCCAAACCACTTTTGCCAAACACATTACACATTTCACACTTCTATGTGTTTGCTCGTACCATTCCCGCAGACTAGAGTTCCTTTACTGATATTCCAACGAAGTCATTATTCATCCTTTAAGACCAAATTCCATTCCTTTTCCTTCCACCCACTTGGAATTAAGGGAGGTAATTTAGGGGGAAAAAAAGATACAAGGGAACATAGGAGAGGAATGAAAGATTCTGTACCAGAGGAGCAATAAGATAAATGAGAGTAAGGGTTTGTCAGAACCTTCTAGAAAACCATCATTCCATGCTATACAGAAAATTAACAAGCCTAACAAGGTCTGACAGCAGGAATCCAAGAGGTGAGAGAAAACCTGTCAAGATTATGGGATAACAAGAAAACCTGCAGCAGAAATTTGAGAAATGTGTCCAGGAATTATAAAACAGAAGGACTTAAAGCCACGCTTGGTCTTTTCATCTATTATTCCAACAGGAAAGAAGCGTGTGAAAGTTAACCACTGATTACATAGATGGCATCAAAGAATAGAATTTAGTTTTTACCGTTTTAAGATGCTGCAAAGATTAAGCACTTAACCCTAGAAGAGGGAACCTAATTAAGTCTGGAAGAATGCCTTTGTTCAGAAACGCCTGTCTCATCCAAAGGGCTCTGAACTAAAAATAGAGAGGTAGAAAGAAACAATGTAAGTTGATACAATTACTGCATCATTCATTCAACAAACATTGACCAGGCACTGTTCTAACACTGGGGATACAGCAGTCAACAGACCTGACAAAATCCCAGTGCTTATGGTGGGAGAAAGCCAATACAAAAAATAGATAATGATTTCAGGTGATGATCAGCTTTTAAAAAAATACAGCCAAGTAAAGAAACAGAAAATGACAGCTAGGGTACAAGGTGTAGAACTGAGGGAGGAAGTCTGGCAAATCTAAGGGTAGAGCCAGAGAGAAAAGGAAGGCCCTGAAAGACGAAGGATCTCGAGGTGTTTGACAACAATGAACTTGGCCAGAACATAATAAATGAGAAGGATGGTAGTGGGGAGGTGAAGAGGGAGGCAGAGCCAGAGTAAGGTAGAGAAGAAGTCTGGATATTATATTTAAGTGTGATGGAAGCCTCTGGAGGGGAGAGGATGTGGAGTCTGAATCACCTTTTTGATCACTCAGGCTATTGAGTGGAGAAAGAACTGTAGGCAGCTAAGCACAAGACGACCATGAGTTGGGCTAGGGTGGCAGCAACAAAGTTGACCCATGTCAGATATGATTACGTAAAGAAAGACTACAGACAGTCTTAGGAGAAAATTTTTTAGAAAAAGGGACATCACATATGCCACCTCCAATGTCAATAAACAAGTGGAGAGGATGATCATGCACGAAACATCACTGAGTTCCATGACAGTAAGAGCTGTCATGTGTTGTGATCTCTCCAAAGCCCAGCACGACGCTTGGGACATTAGCAGGTACTGGGAAAAGATATTTTTTTCAATAAATTTTAACACTTTAACACAAGAAAGCACCTTACATGTATAACCAAAATTTAGTGGGATGGGATTCAATATTGGTCTATAAACATTGAAGCTCTAGTAGGTGAGTAAACTGTTTCAAATAAACAAGCTTACTGAAACATTTACTGAGTGTCTTCTACATGTTACCAGTGTGGCACACTAAGACGAGAGAGTTTAAGACCTGCCTCTCCTGTCTCCCAAGTTAGAGTTCACACCCTGGTGGTCCAGACAAGTCACACGCCTGAACAAACACCAAGAGGATTTGTGCAAAGAAGACTGCTGGCAGCTGTCAGTAACCTTCAAGCAACTGTAGAAAACCACAGCAATACAACACAGAGAGGAACATGGCAGCATCCCTGGTTTTAAAAGGGGGAAGAAAGTGAATGCTACCCACTTAGCAATTGAGCATAATGTCAACTCTCAGTAAAACTGTACAACAAAATATCAAAGGGAGGGTTTGTGGGCACTTACACAAGAAAGAGGGGACCAGTAAGAGCCAACACATGCACCTGAGTAAGCCATTCCTGGCTAAAGTCTTGTCCTTTTTTGATAGAAGAATGGAGATTGGGAAATACATGATATACCTGAATTTTATTAAAATTTATTAATCCTAACTCTAGTAATATTTCAGGGGATAACATGGGAGGAAATGGACTAAAGTACAGGTCAGCTGTATAGGAAACTGCCAGAATGGTCTTGAGAAAAGAGGTGACCAGTTAAAAAGAGTGTCTAAAGAGAGGATCTGAAAGGAAATGTTTAAAAATAAAAACAAAATGATAAATAATATCAAGGCCAAAAGATATTGCCATTAGGGGTTTCTCAAGCAAACAGGCCAGCCAGGCCACCCTATAGTGAATGCCACAATTAGGAGGTGTTCCCTAAATTAATATGCAGACATAAATTTATTAATATTAATCAGATAATAGAAACCTGGGAAAGGAAGAGCACATACACTGGATAATAAAAATAAAAGCTCATGACAGTCTATAAAGCTGGGCAAAAATCAACAGCTTTAAATTTCTTGGGGAAAATTCCAACTTCATACTTATGTTTTTAAAATTCTACAAGAAACAAGAGCACAAAAGGGAAAGCTGGCTTTCTTAAGAGCTTTTGGTGAACGGCAAGGTAACGTAAGTGAAGTTGTTGAAAAAGCGAATTCAACATAAGGCAACATTAAGAATCCAGAAGAAAGGACTACCTATATCTACTTTAGTGAGTTGCTTTTTGCATACCCCACTTTAAGAAAATTGTTGGCCAGGTACGGTGGCACCCGCCTGTAATCCCAGCACTTTGGAGGCCAAGGCGGGCGGATCACCTGAGGTTGGAGTTCGAGACCAGCCTGATTAACTTGGTGAAACCTTGTCTCTACTAAATACAAAAAATTAGCTGGGCGTGGTGGTGCTTGCCTGTAATCCCAGCTGCTCGGGAGGCTGAGGCAGAATTGCTTGAACCCAGGAGGTGGAGGTTGCAGTGAGCAGAGATCGCGCCACTGCATTCCAGCCTGGGCAACAAGAGCGAAACTCCGTCTCAAAAAAAAAAGAAGATCGTTAAAATAGAACTCAGATCAATGAAAGAGATTTGGATAGTCTACTTAGAGTAAATGTTGACTAACTGAATACATGCACTGAATTCGGCTCCCTTCCAAAACTCCACTGAAATAATAGAGGGATTTAAAACATTTGGAACTACGAAGCAGGTGGGAGAATAAATTGACCTAGTACACTCGAAAAAGCTGAATCCCGAGCCAGTGGTGGGAAAAGATAGGAAGTGAACCCACTTACACCACAAAACTCCCTCAAAACTCAGGAATTCATGGTTTAATATATCTCTGGAACTGGAGATGACAATGGGGCTAAAAATGAAGGATTCATTGGGTTGCATGAGAGCATTCAGATCTTCTGTGCAGTTGGACAACTGCCCCTCTTCTACCCAGAAGAGTTGGACCACACACAGGTACCACACAGAAAACAAAAGGATGAAGTGGAAGTTTATACACTGAATATTGAAACCAACACCCACCCCAACCTTCTTTCCCTGCTTGAGTCCCAGGACTCTGGCAGCCAGATTAATATCCTTTCCAGGAGCCCAGAAGAGACTTGTTTGGGGAAATCTGATGAGTCCAAGAGAAATGACCAAACGATACTGACACTTAGTGTTTCCCGAAGAAAAAGGCGAGCCAGACCACTCTACAGAAAATGCCACAGCCAACAATCCCATACCCAAATAATACAATGCTTTCAAACAATCTTTTAGGGCCCCGTTCCTAAATATTAATAATAACTAGATAGCTAAGGATGACCAGACAGTTAAGGAATCTTTTACCATGACAAACAGGAAAAAATAACTTGGAAGAAAAAGATGATGCAGTTGCAGAGAGAAGTGAAATTAAAACACACACAGAGAGATAACAGATGATGTAAAAACAAAAAAGAATACTGAAAAGAACAAAAGCACCCACTAGGAAATTAGAAATCATAGCAGAAATAAAAACACAATAGAAATACTGAAAGGTAAATTAAGGAAATCTATTGCATTGTGGAGAAAAGACAAGGAGTTCAAAAATACTTTTAAATGGTAAGAAAATTCAGAAACGGGGAAGAAATGGGGGGAAAAAAATCCAAGAAAGAATTAAGAAAAAATTTTCCCAATTGCAAACCAGAAATTTCCAGATTGAAAGAGCCCATACTGTATCCAGCATAATGGATAGAAGGCCCATCGCTGAAAAATGTCAGAACTTGGGTTATAAGGAAGATCCTAAAAGGTTTGAGAGAGAATAAGTTTAATATGAAGAATCAAGAATCAGAATAGCAGACTTCAACAGCGACCCTAGAAGTCAGAAGGCAATGGAACAACTCATTTAAAATTCTGAGGAAAAATAATTTCCAACCTAGAATTCTGTATCCACTCAACTATTACATATGTGACATAAAAATAAAAACATGCCAGGTGTCAACAAACTTCCCTCATGGAGCCTTTCTCAGTAAGCTACTGAAGGAGGTGGTCTACCAAATCAAGGGAATAAACCAAGAAAAATAACACCAGTACAGAGACACTGATGGGGAGAAAAAAAAACTCAAAGAAGGCTTAAATAAATGGAGAACTACATCACATTCATAGATTGGAAGACTCAGTATTAATTTGACAATTAATTCTTCCCTAATGGATCCATGCATTTCAATGCAAGCCAAATCAAAATCGCAGCAAAATTTTTTGTAGATATTAACAAGCTGATTCTAAAATGTATAGGGGAAGGCAAAAGAACTATAATAGTCAAAATAACTTCGAAAAGGAAGCAAAAAGTTAAAGGACTCACATAACCTGATTTCAATATATACTATAAAGCCACAATAATTAAGACCATACAGTACTAGTATTAAGACAGACAAACAAATGGATGAAACCAAACAGAAAGTTCTGAAATAGATCCACACATATATGGTTGATATTTGAGAAAGATACAAAGGCAATTCAATGGAAAACATAGTCTTTGTCAATAAATTGCACTGAAATAAATGGATATTCATACACACACACAAAAAACCAACTCAACCTGTACCTCAAACCTTATATAAAGATTGGCAAAATGGATAATAGACCTAAGTGTAAAATGTAAAACTAGAAAATTTTAGAATAAAACATAGGAGAAAATATTTGTGACCTTGAACTAGGCAGTGTTCCTAGCTATGATATCAAAAGCATAATTCATTCCCGAGCCAGTGGTGGGAAAAGATGAGAAGCGAACTCACTTATACCACAAAACCCCTCTGCTAAATAAGCAATGAAGGCCAAGTATGGTGGCTCACACTTGTAATCTCAGCACTTTGAGAGGTCAAGAAAGGAGGATCGGTTGAGGCCAGCAGTTTGAGACCAGCCTGGGCACATAGTGAGACCCCGTCTCTACATAAAAATAAAAAATAAATAAAAATTAGCCAGGTACGGTGGCACACACCTATAGGCCTAGCTACTTGAGAGGCTAGGACAGGAAGACTGTTTGAGCCCAGGAGTTTGAGGCTGCAGTGAGTTATGATTGCACCACTGCACTCCAGCCTGGGTGACAGAGTTAGACCATGTCTCTTAACACACACACACAGAGAAAGAGAGAGAGAGAGCAATAATTCGAAAGATACAACACCAAGAAAGATATACAGATGTTAAATAAGTACATGAAAAGATGTTCAACATCTCTGGTCACTAGGAAAATGCAAATTAAAACCACAGTGGGATATCACTAAACGTCTATGCCAACAATTTAAAAAATAAACTGACAATACCAAGTGCTCACGAGGATATGGAACAATTAGAACTCTTCTTATACGTTGCTCATGGGAATGCACAATGGTACAGCCCATTTGGAAAACAGTTTGGCAGATTCTTATAAACATTCACTTACCATACAACCCAGCAATTCCACTCCCAGATAGTTACCAAAGATAAATGAAAACATTCACACTGCATAGAAGTGTTCACAGGAGCTTTATTAATAATCATCCCAAACTGGAAACAACCCCGTGTTCTTCAACTGGTGAATAAACTATGATATATTCATATAATGGAATACTACTTAGCCATAAAAACAAACTATTGATGCATGCAATAGCATGGATGCATCTCAAATGCATTACACTGAAGAAAAGAAGCCAAACTCAAAAGGTTTACAATACTGTATGATTCCATTTATATGACATTCTGGAAAAAGCAAAACTACAGGAATAGATCAGTGGTTGCCAAGGGTAGAGGAGTGATCTGATGACAAAGGGGCAGCTCAAGGGAATTTTTGGAAGTGAGAACTGTTCTGTATCTTGCTACTGGTGGTGGTGGCTCCATAAGGCCATGCGTCTGTCAAAGTTCATACAACTGTAGAACAAAAAGTGAATTGTACCGTATGTAAATTAAAAAATAAACTAAAAAAGCACATGGGATCCAGATAATTGGGAATCCAATACAAGAAAGAATGGGCCTGGCACGGTGGCTCACACCTGTAATCCCAGCACTTTGGAAGGCCAAGGTGGGCAGATTGTCTGAGGTCAGGAGTTCGAGACCAGCCTGACCAACATGGAGAAACCCCGTCTCTACTAAAAATACAAAATTAGCCAGGCGTGGTGGCGCATGCCTGTAATCCCAGCTACTCGGGAGGCTGAGGCAGGAGAATCACTTGAACCCAGGAGGTAGAGGTTGTGGTGAGCCGAGATCGCACCTTTGCACTCTAGCCTGGGCAACAAGAGTAAAACTCCATCTCAAAAAAAAAAAAAAAATTCCAGGTATGATGTGAAGGGAGATCTTAAATTGACAGCTTTGTAAAAAAGCAGGCCTGAAGAGTATCCAGCCCAGTTTGGAGGTATGGGAGAGATCTATTCAGGAAATTGAAACTGAAAGAATATCTAAGGTATCTGAGCTTACTCAAAGGAGAGTCACACAACTAGGTGAGAGTTTATAAGCCAATTAGTTATAAGTGCATATTAATAGAAAGCTGGGTAGACAGTAGAACAAGACAACCACGATCTCCAAGAGTGACAAATGATGAAATACTACATGACTCGGCTGTTAAGAGCAACCACTTAGTCATAAGATGAAGACTAAACATTAGGCAGGGTGCGAGGGCTCACGCCTGTAATCCCTGCACTTCAGGAGGCCAAAGCAGGAGGATCACTTGAGCCCCAGAGTTTGAGACCCTCCTGGGAAACATAATGAGAACTCATCTCTACAAAATAATTTTTAAAAATCAGCTAGGCGTGGTGGTGCAAATCTGTGGTCCCCGCTATTCAGGAGGCTGAGGTGGGAGGATCACTTGAGCCTGGGAGGTTGAGGCTGCAGTGAGCTATGATCACACCACTGCACTCCAGCCTGGGTGACAGAGTAGACTCCATCTCAAACAAACAAACAAAAAAGACTGAACATTGATCCAAACAAAGTTATGATGATATATCTGCAGCAGAAGGATAAGGGCAACCCGAAGTAGGTGCACAGGGTAGGGCAAAGGATGGTGTTGGAAGACAGCTCAATCTTTATCTTCTACAGTGGAGTCCAAAATTAATGTCAAAAATTGAAAAGCGAGGAGGTAGCAGTATAAGCATATTAAAGATATATAGGGGGAAAAGCAAAAGAATTAAAGATTTAAAAGTGGTGGTCTCAGGGCAGCAGAAAATGGGGAGGGTGGGGAGCTTTTTAAAATAACAAGCCCTAGAAATGCTTAACTCTTTAAAATACAAACATATGAGCTGGGCGCAGTGGCTCACATCTGTAATCCCAGCACTTTGGGAGGCTGAGACGGGTGGATCACCTGAGGTCAGGAGTTCAAGACCAGCCTGGCCAACATAGTGAAACCCTGTCTCTACTAAAAATACAAAAAATTAGCTGGGCATGGTGGCGGGTGCCTGTAATCCCAGCTACTAGGGAGGCTGAGGCAGGAGAATCACTTGAACCCGGGAGGTGGACGTTGAGTGAGCCAAGATCGCGCCATTGCACTCCAGTCTGGGCAACAAGAGTGAAATTCCATCTCAAAAAAAAAAAAAAAATACACACATGTGTAACTGATAAAAATAAAAATTACATAGATTTAATCATGAAAGCATAAAAGTAAAGTAAAGAAGTGGCCCAGAACAGTAAAGTTTCTGAAAGTCTGACATTCAGACATGGTTGTAAAAACTAAAGGTGTTTAACTTTAAAACACACACACATACCTTGGCACACACTAAAGGCCAATTTCGGTTTTTTATTCTGTTTGGCTAATGGGTGCAGAATCAGAACAATGAAGTTACATGGACACAGAGCTCGGTAGTGCAAAATGAAATTTCTAATAACTGCCTGAATGTAGAACAAATGCCTCAGGAAGCAGTAAGTTATCTGTTGCTGGAAGTGTTTAAACAAAGACTGAACAAAATCCACGTAGAGTATGTGACATAAAATTCATGGCTACCTTGGTAGACCTCTTAAGCCCCTGACAGTTGTGTAATTCTGTAAAAGGATTCCATGTGACAATTTCCTTTGAATCAGTATCATTCTAAAATAGGACTAGAAACACTGGTAGGTGAAGAAGCTCAGGCACTCGGTACATTTGTGCTTCTTTTTCCTTTTATCCCACCTCCACCTCCTTTCAGCTTTTGGCTTTTCATTTCAAAAGTCTTAAATATATTTACATTTTATTAAAAATTACCTAAAACATTTTTGGAACCAAATGAGATTTAAAAACTTAAAGAGCATAAACAGAAAATGTATGTCTGAATGGGAGAAAGCTGGAAGATAAATGGAAAGGTGGTCTGATGTAGTGGTAGGAAACAAATTGAATACTTGGGTGTCCCTGAATCCATTCTGGACCCTGTAGTTAGTCCATGGCCATGGAACACTAAACAGGTCACTGTGCCCAGTTAGGTATGAGACTTTGGGACTATGGCAAGAGCACATGGATTTCCTGGCAGGGTAACAGGGCAGAGATACATGACTAAGTCATAAACACATAAGAGCAACAAAAGAGCCACCATAGGTTAGTCAACAACGACAGAAGAATACTTTCGATGTGTTCTACTTTAAAATTTCTAGAATCTGCTCTATCAAAGAAGAAAACTCATTTATTAGCTTAAAAGCTGGTCATTTCAACATGAAAATTAAAATATTACCCATATTATAGGTACAATCTTTTCTATGGGACTGCCTCAAAAGCCATTGTGACTTGCATACAGGCATCTGAAGCTTTGTTATTTTCTTACTCAAGGACAGTATTTTTTTCACTCTGTATAATAAAATGCTGTCATGCCTACAGACACAATAACTTTATCCTAAAGTTTACTGAACTTCATCCTTACCAGTGAAGCACAAACACAAACCAAACTTCAAAAATAACATCTATGTTCCTTTAGGGCACTTTTGTATTTCTAGTTTTTAGTTTTGAAAATTAGTTTAAAATCTAGCAAGGAATTATCAGTGTTTTACACCTTGTAAACTATACTAATATTTAGCTATATAAGAAACACAGGGCCAGGCGTGGTGGCTCACACCTGTAATCCCAGCACTTTGGGAAGCCAACGCAGGCGGATCACCTGAGGTCAGGAGTTCGAGACCACCCGATCAACATGGTGAAACCCCGTCTCAACTAAAAATAAAAAAATAAAATTAGCTGGGCATGGTGGCGGGCGCCTGTAGTCTCAGCTACTTGGGAGGCTGAGATAGGAGAATCACTTGAACCTGGGAGGCAGAGGCTGCAGTGAGCCGAGATCGTGCCATTGCACTCCAGCCTGAGCGACAAAGTGAGACTCCCTCTCAAAAAAAAAAAAAAAAAAAAAAGAGAGAGAGAGAAACACAGATTCAGCTGGGCTCTGGCACACTGACAAAGCTACACCCCTCCGTAGCATCTCCCTTAACAGACTGCACACTTACAGAAGGAAAAGTCTCATTCTTTGTTGAGCCCAGTACTTAGCCTGACAGCACACCAGCCCATGAACATTGAACAGAACCAAAGCATGCAGCCAGCTTGGGATTCTCTTTTTATTCTACCGATATTCTCGGTTCTTTTATTTTACTTTTCAGCATCTTCCCTTTGTCCTGAGTTTCCTCATTGCTGCAATGGGCAGAAGCAGTGCTGCTTGTCATCTTCCAGGTCACACTCTGAACAAAATACTTAAGACTGGAGCTTTACCCAGTCTACTCCCAGGCAGGCACTGAGAAAATGGGCCAGAAGAGCTTTCATTATGCTCTGTGGGCCAGAAACAAGAGGTGTGTTGCAGGGAAATGGGGGAAGGCGGTGTGGCAGAAGGGAAAGAAGGCCCTCATTCTTATATAATAAATCTATCGTCCAGTGCTGATTACCTGTCATACTGAGGTTTTGATGAGGCCCAGAGGGTTCTAGCTTATGATGTGCCTTTTTTCCTGATTGGTTAATATTAATGTATACACCAAGACTTCATTATAACCTAGGAACACATGCTAGCAAGGTAGAATTCAAAAGCCCACCAGAATTAAACAGTTTGAACGGCAGCTAGTTTTAATTTTCAGGTTCATTCCCATTTCTCTCCATTGGCAAGTTGTATTTGTTTTAACCATAATCTTGACAAGTATCAGCACCACAAACTAAATGTTTAGTCTCTGAATACTCCATCCCTGTTCCATATGTATTCAATAAACATTTATTGAGGATCTATTATTTGCTTGGCCCATCATCCCTATCCTCAATTCTTTCTCCAACCAAAGATAGCATTCCATCTCCGAATGGTCATTTGGAGTTTAAGTGATAACTGTAACTGCCCCTCTGCTGCAGCAGACTTGAAGAAAGGAGAAAATCCTCCAGTGCAGATCATAGCTCCCCTTCTTGCTGTTGGCCCAGCTGACCCCATAGCAGTTCATATTATCAAGTTTCAAACTTGAAGGATTCTTTTGTCAATCATTTACCCTACCTAATATCCCTTGGAGATCTCAAATCACTAATCTGAGAAACAATGATTCACGTGAAAGGGTTTTAAGTTATAATATACTTGAGTGACTTGAAATTTATCTACTTTTGCCAATATCTTAAAGAAGAACATGAAGTTTGTGATGCACTTAAAGTCAGTTTCAGAGCTGAGTGATTCTTAGTTAAGAGTCACCTGATCCAACAACCTTATTGTTGCTTCTGGTTTCACCATAATCACTTTTGTTGTCATTTGGGAGAATGAAATTGAGAAGCAGTATTTCAAGCAGTGTTACTCAAAGTGTGCTGTGTAGGAGAGCAGTTCAAGATATAGTGAAAAAAATTTTAAAGGACAGATAAGTCCAATAAAGGCCAGTTAAGCAAAGTTAAACTGGTTTCCTGGGAGGCAGGGCAATGACCCTAAATATGTTAATATGCATGATTACTTTTCAAATGGGGTTGGGAGGCCAGTGAGGGGGTGGTATGAAGTGAGCAAGAAGAACCTCTCAAACTTTTCTGACCTCAGAACCCTTTTTTTGGCAGAACACCTTGTAGCCCTGGTGCTTTGGAAGCACATACTTGGGAGAAATCCTGATTAAGATATTCTTACATAAGAAACATTTAAATCTTTCAAAGTGATGGCATGTAGAGCACCATCTATCATATCTTAGAGCCTGATTTAAGTAGCAGATCCTTCCTCACCCAGAAGTCTCCCAGCTCAATTTGCTTGTTGCAACCTCAAGATAAATAAGTGTTTCCACTTGGTCTTGGTTTACTTTCTCAGATCACATTAAACTATAAACTTTTTAAACTAGCAGCAAACTAGAATTGCTTTCAGTTTTAAAATGAAGTGCCTTATTAAAGTATTATTTCCAAACTTTCATAACTGAAATCTGCTTCTATCAGCAGTGTACACTGAAAAATGTTTTTCTTGATTAAAACTATGGCTAGTTTCAAAATATGTCAAAATATACTTAAAACTTGGTATCTTTAGAATTGTCTTCCAACACCTGTGGTTTCAGAATTGTCATGAAAATACAAAACCACATGCAAAATAGATTTGGAAAAACTTTGAGGCTTAGCAAGCAAGGAATAAAACTCTCTTAAATATGCTGAGTTTTTAAAATGAAGTTTATTATTTTAAAAATTCCAGCTCTTGCTCTGATGGTAGGAATCTCTGCCTTCGTAATTTGATCTTAATGTGCACACTAATCATTTGTGCTCCAGAGTCAACTTTATTGAGGCCATTTTCTTCACCCTTTCCTCTCTTACTGCTCTCCAGAGCCTTGTTGGCACTCAATATTAATAACACAAGCATCAATTATATTAACCCTTTCGAAGGCCATGAATCTCCAAAGACTGACTAAACATATAAATATCCATTACTTATTTAAAAGTGTATTTTCAGGAATTGGTGAATTATGGGGAAAGAACACAATTACAGTAACAAGTAGTAAACTTGCTGTCATGACAGACTTGTTCAGACTTAGTTCTTAGAAGAAAATATGGAAGGGCCCTGGAGGATACGCACAGTAGCCATTGGTCCTTACTTAGAGTCTGAAGTTTATAACCACCACTTTCAGACTCTGCTCCAAACTGTCGTACCCTGGCCTCTATAGTTTGAGGTGCACTGATTTAAAACCAACCTACACATAGACTTTAAAGAGAGAACAAACAGGCGTGGTGGCTCACACCTGTAATGCCAGCATTTTGGGAGGCCTAGGCGGGCGGATCACCTGAGGTCAGGAATTTGAGACCAGCCTGGCCAACATGGTGAAACCCCCTCTCTACCAAAAAAAAAAAACAAAAACAAAAACAAAAATTAGCCAGGTGTTGTGGTTGGCGCCTATAATCCCAGCTACTTGGGAGGCTGAGGCATGAGAATCCCTTGAATCCGGGAGGTAGGGGTTGCAGTGAGCCAAGACTGCGCCGCTGCACTCCAGCCTAGGCAACAGTGCAAAACTCCATCCCAAAAAACAAAACAAAACAACAAACAGCAAACAGCACACACAACCTCTGAAATTAAGAGACAAAAAAGTGGTATCTAAGGTACATTCAATCTACCATTTAATATAGCAGTCCTTGGAACAGCAGAGGGAAATACAGCAGGAAGTGCACAGGCTTGGAACTACTCCCAGTTTTACACTACTTGGGCGATCCTAGTCAAGGTACCTAGCCTTTCTGAGTTTCTGTTTCCTCCTCTGTAAAATGAGGCTAACTGGGACCCACCTCAGAGTTATGAGAATAAAATGAGAACTGCATGTAAAGCGCTTAGCCCAGAGGCTACCACACAGTAAATCCCCAGCAATGACTGGTGTTCTCTATATTCTATATGCTCATGACTTAAAGCATTTTCTGAAATCCAGTTCTGGGTCTTCAATTCCCTATGGAAAATACCGCCTGGAGGTATTAATATCAGTACCACCTCCAGTCAGTCCATACAAAATTGAATTCATCTTCCCCTCTCCACAAACTAGTCCCCATCTCAACTAACATGTCTAGCCATTATAATACCCTTCTTCCATGATGTGGCGTTCAAAACATCTGTTCTTTCCTTCTCTTTCATCCCACATATCCAGATTAAGTCAGGAAGGTCTATTTTATTTTGACTCCACAATAACTCTTCTCTGTTTCCTGTTTACACTGGTATGAGTTACTGAACAGCTCCCTGGGCGGCCTCTGCCTTCTATTTCTCCCATTCAGGTGCAGTTATGCTGTCAAATTAATCTTCCTTAAACCACTCTGAAAACTCCTCCATGGCTGCCCATTTTCCTCCCCTTCAAATATGAATGCCTTCCCCAAATGCAACATAACATCTCTTCACTCCACTCTGGTCAGGTCTCCTTTCCATACTGACAAGCAGCAAGTTATTGTCTGCTTCCTTGCCTTTGACCAACTGTTCTTTACACTGGAATTCCTCTCCCTGCTTTCTACTAAAATCTGTCTGCCCTTCACTTTTTCTAAACCCCATTCTTCCAGACCAGATCTTTTGCTGGAGAATCATTTTCAGGAAGCCAACTCCCCAACTATTCTTTCCTCTCTTGGTTTCCCCGTCCCCTGAACTCCTTGCCACCCAATTTAGCCTCTAATTATTTATGTTTGTTTCTCTCTTTGCACTCATTTTCTAGACACAGTTTACAATCTGGGAGCCAGGCACGGTAGCTCATGCCTGTAATCCCAGCACTTCGGAGGCCAAGATGGGTGGATCCCTTGAGCCCAGGAATTTGAGGCCAGCCTGGGCAACATAGGGAGACAAGACCTCGTCTCTACAAAAAAATACAGGCCAGGCACAGTGGCTCACGCCTGTAATCTCGGCACTTTGGGAGGCCAAGGCGGGCAGACCATCTGAGGTCAGGAGTTTGAGACCAGCCTGATCAACATGGTGAAACCCCATCTCTACCAGAAATACAAAATTAGCCAGGCGTGGTGGCACATGCTTGTAATCGCAGCTACTTGGGAGGCTGAGGCAGGAGACTCGCTTGAACCCGGGATGCGGAGGTTGCAGTGAGCTGAGATCATGCCACTGTACTCCAGTATGGGCAACAAGAGCGAAACTCCGTCTCAAAGAAAACAAAAACAAAAACAAAAAAAGGCCGGGCGCAGTGGCTCACACCTGTAATCCCAGCACTTTGGGAGGCCAAGGCGGGTGGATTACCTGAGGTCAGGAGTTCGAGAGCAGCCTGACCAACATGGTGAAATCCCACCTCTACTAAAATACAAAAATTAGCCCTCTGTCGTGGTGGGCACCTGTAATCCCAGCTACTCAGGAGGCTGAGGCAGGAGAATGCTTGAACCTGGGAGGTGGAGGTTAAAGTGAGCTGAGATCACGCCACTGCACTTCAGCCTGGGTGACACAGCAAGAGTCCATCTCAAAAAATAATAAAATAAAATAAAATA
Organism: Homo sapiens; assembly: GCF_000001405.40. Taxonomy (NCBI): domain Eukaryota; kingdom Metazoa; phylum Chordata; class Mammalia; order Primates; family Hominidae; genus Homo; species Homo sapiens. Next base: position 105,256,779 of record NC_000009.12, on the reverse strand, counting down.
AAATAAAATAAAATAAAATAAAATAAAATAAAATAAAAATAATACAAAAATTAGCTGGGCGTGGTAGTGCATGCCTGTAGTCCCAGCTACTTGGGAAGCTCAACCAGGAGGATAGCTTGAGCCCAGGAGATTGATGCTGCAGTGAGCTGAGATCTCACCACCGCACTCCAACCTGGGTGACAGAGAGAGACCCTGTCTCAAAAAAAAAAAAAAAGAGTTTCCAGCCATTTTGTAATCTTAAGAATGAAAGCCATATGCTTACATAATGAAACCAAAAGGAGAGTGGGTCTTTGATAAACGAGGAGTCTCATATTAGCCCTGAAACACTACTTCTGGACTTACTTTGGGTAAGAAATACATTTTTATCTGGTTTATCTAGTTTCTTTCAGTTTTCTGTCATATGCAGCTGGATCTAACTCTTAAATGATACTCTGTCTCACAATAAAATTACCACAAGAATATAAACCAGGCTGGGTGTGGTGGCTCATGCCTGTAATTCCAGCACTTTGAGAGGCTGAGGTGGGCAGATCACTTGAGCTCAGGAGTTCAAGACCAGCCTGGGCAACATGGCAAAACTCCATCTCTACAAAAAATACAAAAATTAGCAGGCATGGTGGTACATGCCTGCAGTCCCAGCTACTCGGGAGGCTGAGGTGGGAGGATTGCTTGAGTCTGGGAGGTGGAGGTTGCAGTGAGCCGAGATCCACTACTGCACTCCAGCCAGGGTGACAGAGCAAGACCCTGTCTCAAAAATAAAAATAAAATTTTTGGAAGTCAGGGTACCTTTCCAAAACTCAAACACAAAAACATTTTTAAGGGAAGGATTAATGGTTATTAGAACATCAGGGAGATTTAGTTTACATTAATATTGTAATTTCTGAGATACATTCATGAGTTGTGCAGTTTGCTAAAAGTATCTGAGGCAAGTTTTATTATTGTTTATATTTTATAGCTGGTGAAACTCAGGCACCAAAGGTTAAAGAATGTGGTCCAAATAACTCAACTAGTGATAAGGTGGGATTCAAATTGATATAGTCTGGCTATAGAGCCCACCCTCCTGCCAGTACACAATGATGTTCAATCCTCTGGATTCTAACAGCTGTTTAGAGAAGAAATAGTGAAAGGACTTCTGAGGAAGGCAAAAGGCTACTCAATGACTAAGGCAGGACCATTTAGTTGGCAATGAGGAAGTATAACAGACTAAATTCAAATGGATTTTATTAAGAAACAGGAAGAAAGTTTTACAGCAAATATATGATGTTTTAAATTAAACTTTTTGCCATTATAAATAATGCTACAATAAAAAGATTCTTACATATAGCATTACTCAACTTTAGAATTACCAAATAAAGGATGTTAACTTTTTTATGGCTCTTAATGTATCTCAAGAGGGTCATTCCAATTTATTCAGCAAATCAATAAAGTATATTTGAGTCAAAACCACTTGGGCAATTAATATTATTTTGTTAACTATTACCAAAGTTACAGCTGTGAAAGGATGCCTCTATGCTTTAATTTGGTTGTTAACAAGATTGAACATATTTACACACTGGTTTATTTCCTTCTGTAAATTATGTATTGCAAGGATGCATTTTATATACTGTGAGAACTCTTTATATCAGAGATATTCTAAATAATGACATGACTTTTCAGTTTAATTATTAAAAAAAAAAAAAAACAAAAAAACCTGAAAGTAAGCAGGTTAAAACAAAAGAAAACAGAGGCTCTCTTTTTTTCCCTCTTTAGTGGATTGTACTCATTATTACAGCTCCTTAAGTGTATCAGCTGGAGGTGGAAAAAAAATAAGGAAAATAAAAACTATCAGTTTTTTGATACTCAATTTTGAAACAGAGATAAACACAGACAGAAGTGAGACTTCAAAAGAGGTAGAAAAGGAGATTGTAAGCTAGAGAGAGAAGAGGTTATACTAACAGCCAAGGTGCTCTTGAAGGACCATGGCCTGCAAGAATACTAACTCACCACTTAACCATTATTCCAACCTCAAATGCTCTTCTTCATCTGAAGCTGTCCTTAGCTCAGAATGGGAAAGATGCAGTGGGGGTGAGCAAAAAAGAAAGACAGGGGTTTCAGCAATGGCTTGAGCAGCATCACTAGGACAAGAAGATAACTAACTGTGTGACTTTGAACTACGAACTGTGAAGTTCATAATGGGGCTATAAGTAAAATGTTAGGAAACACTATAGAAGTCTGATTTAAAGACAAAAGAAAATGGCAAAACCATAGCAGATAGTATTGGCTGCCTACCCAGTCACCACGCCCAATCCTGCATCCCTGCCGCCACCTTGCTGGCAAAGTCCTCCTTTTGTTCCGGTGTTGCCCTGCCCCTCACTTGACTCAGAGGGAAGTCCTGGTTACTCTAAATCAATTGCAGAGTCCTTTGCCTTCCTCTTGTTAGAGCTTGTTTAGGGATAAGTGTGCAGCCCTCTCTAATTCCCATGAAAGGAAAACCACTGGAGATTGTCAGCTCAGCAAAAGACGGTAAGAAGAGCCATAGCCATCTTGGGATCTTGAGGGGAGCTAATTAAGAAAAAGCTACCTTCCGTAAAATGACAAAAAAGAAACAAGGAGAGAACTTACGTCCTTGCTGACATCAAGCCACTGAACTAACCAACCTGAAAGCTACCCTACCCCTTGACCTATAGGAGATAATCAATTTTCCTTAATGTTTTAGCTATTTGGATTTAAGGGTTTTTTTTATTATTATTATTTGTTTGTTTCTTTGTTTAAGACAGGGTCTCAGCCAGGCACAGTGGCTCACGCCTATAATCCCAGCACTTTGGGAGGCCGAGGCAGGCAGATCACAAGGTCAGGAGTTCGAGACCAGCCTGGCCAACATAGAAACCTCATCTCTACTAAAAATACATAAAATTAGCCAGGTGTGGTGGCGGGTACCTGTAGTCCAAGCTACTTGGAGGCTGAGGCAGGAGAATCGCTTAAACCCGGGAGGCGGAGATTGCAGTGAGCTGAGATTGTGTCACTGCACTCCAGCCTGGGCAACAGAGCGAGACTCTGTCTCAAAAAAAAATAAAGACAGGGTCTGGCTCTGCCACCCAGGCCGGAATACAGGCACGATCATAGCTCAATGCAGCCTCAACCTCCCAGACTCAAGAGATCTTCCTCCCACCTCAGCCTCCTGAGTAGCTGAGACCAAAAGCACACGACACCATACCTGGCTAATTTGTTTTGCTATTTTTTGTAGAGATGGGTCTCACTATATTGCCCAGGATGGTCTAGAACTCCTGGCTTCAAGTAATCCTCCTGCCTCAGCCTCCCAAAGTGTTGGGATTATACGTGTGAGCCACCAAACCCAGCCTTTTTTATTTCTTATAGCTGTAACATCATAAGTAGTTCAAAATGAAGAATTTTCTGAGATCATAATCATGATTATATTATCACAAATCTACAAAAACAAACAAACTTTAATACCTTCCCTGCTACTTAAATATCTTGAAGTAATCATGTTTCCAATTTTTCCATCTTCCTGCTGGTTTTTTTACTTTACATATTATAAACATATCCAGAAGTCAAACACTTCCATTTAATAATTTTCAGCATTTCTGGCAACCTTAAAAATTTGAATAAAAGTTGCTTTTAAGGGTTTTCCTACTAAATAAGTCTAAATATCTGGTTGTGGGATATTGTAGAGAGTAACTAAAAGGAATAATAATATTTTCACAAAAAAATAAATTCCAGGGGTTTATCAACCAAATGTTTGTTAAATGAATCCTATTATACAACATTATCATATTATACAATTACAAAGGAGTCCCCCAGAGGGGAAAAACTGGCATCCCTCTATTGAGTATAATAAAACATACTGAAAAATGTAAATCTGTTTTTTAAATTGCCAAAAAAATTACTAAATTTTACACAATGCATAAATTCAAAATTGGAACATTATGCTATGCTATATTCCAAATAAATTAGAAAACAAAAAGTATCAAAAAGGAGGAAATATTACTGTGTCAAAAACTTTAACCATCTTCACAGAGTGAATTCCCACAGCAGAGATAACAATGTCTAACTCTTTAATGACTTAAATTTTTCACCAGCTCAAACACGTTTTCTTTACAACGCTTGCCATAAAGTCTCACCCATTTGTGCCTGCTATAAAAACATCACCACTGTAAATCTGACTGGTCCATTACTTGAGCGCACTAGCCCTTTCCTGTCCACCTTGACCCAGTAACTTACACCTTTATAAGTATACTTGCTCCATACGTGACATGTATACCTTCAACAGACAAGCTGCTTAAGAGAGCCCTGAACATGCTGTTAAGAGTCTTCCAAAGAAGAATCGTTTTAAAATTCTTATAATGAATTTTAAAACCCCAGTGTTCTAAGGTAGGAGTTCAATCACCTCTATCCATGGAGGGAAACAGAATATCTGTTAATTCATTCAAATATTTCATGAGTACCTACCATGTATTGGTACCAGCTAAGCACCAAGATGGCAATAAACAAAGCAAACACGGCCCCTCTCTTCATCAACTCAGCCTAGAGCAAGGGTCAGCAAACATTTTCTGTAAAGGGACACAGAGTAAATATTTATGCTTGCAGGCCATAAGGCCTCTGTCACAACTACTCAACTCTGACACTGTCATATGAAAGCAGCTATAGACAAGTAAATGAATTAATATGACTGTGTCCCAATAAAACCTTGTGAATGAAATTAAAATTTCATAATTTATTAAATAAATTTCTCATGAAATCATATTCTTTTGATTTGTTTCAACCACTTAAAAACGTAAAGACCATTCTTAGCTCGTAAGCCATAAAAAACAGGTAGCAGGTCAGATTTGGCCCATGGGCTGTAGTTTGCCGCCACCTAGTCTAGACATTAATATTAACTGTAAAATTACGTGTTTACTGCTTTAAGTGCTCACAGGGAAAACACATAAGGCTATGAGAGTTTAATGAGGAGACATGGCCTAGTTTGAAGGGATCAGAAAAGGCTTTTCCAAGGAAGTGACTTTCAGACTGAAACTTAAAGCAACCAGCCAAAAGCCAGGGAGCAAAGCAAAGAGCCTCCTAGACAAGTGAACCACATATGCAAAAGCCCTCTAAGAGGAAGGAATACAACCAACTGAAGAATCTGTGAGGCTGCAGTGCAATGAGCAAAGAAAAGCACACCACAAGGTGACCCTATAGAGAGATGGAGAACAGCCACACACAGGGTCTTGTTGTCCAGGGTCAAGGGTTCTGGTCTTTGTCCTAAGAGCAATGGGAAACCATTAAAGGGTTTTAAGTAGGAGAGGAACACAATTAGCTTGGGATTTTTCAAAGATCACCAAGACTGCAATACGAAGAAAAATTAGAAGGGAGCATGAACAGTTACGGAGAGATCTGTAACCAAGGTACTGGGCTGGAGATGACAGAGGCTTGAACCGGAGTGCTGGCAGTGACGTTGAGAAGGTCAAAGAGGCAAGATGTGGTGACTAGATATAGAAGAGTGAGAGGCAGGTTCCCTACAGGACTCGAGTCTCCAGTTTCCACAACCAGGGCATTGGTATCATTCGGTGAACCAGAGATAAAGTACTGAAAAAGCCGGGGGTGAGGGGTACGATTTTGAGGACAGATTTAAACATGCTGAGTTTGAGTTGCCTGTACAATATTCTAGTGTAAATGCTAATTAATCAGTTGGATATAAGGATCAGCGACCAGGACAGTAATTTAGTTTGGGAACTGTTAACATACAGACTGTAACTGAAGCCATACGAGGGATGAAATTACCTAGAGAAAGGGTAAGGAAGAGTGGCTCTCAAACTTGGTGACACACGAGGGCTACCAGGGGAACTTTTAAAAGTTTTGATGCTGGCTACTCTGGGTGTACTATTATGGGTTAGCCCTGCTCTGCAAGAAGCACTTATAAAACAGAAAAAAAAACTTTTTTTGATGCCCAGCCCGCAGTCTTGGACCAATACATAAGAATCTTTGGGAATAGGACCCAGGCATCACTTCCATAACATTTGTAAACTTCTCCAAGTGATTCCAATGTGCAGCCAAGGATGAAAGGAAAAGAAAGCCTGAGACATTAAGAATTAATAGTACTGTACTACAGAAAGGACAAGAGATTAAGAGATTAAGCAGGTTTCTAATCCCAGCTACCTCATAATGTATCTCTCTGACCTCAGTCTACTTCATATCTCTACATTCTAGTTTAGATCAACAGAAAAGTGATAGTAGGTTTATCTCATATATCCCCTATAGTCCCAAAAATCTGAGGCAAAATTACAAAATTGAAATATTTCATTCTTTCTTTGCAGTTTGAGCAGGGGAAAGGGGAGCATAGAAAAACAACTATCAACCAATTACTGGTAGTAGAATATATTTTTATGAATAATTTTCCCAGGCCAATAACATTTTTAAATGACTGTACTGTTAACACATCAAATAGTATTTGATAGTATAGTATTTGTTAAGCCTGGAAGCATTCTAAGTGGACTAGTTTTGCTGTACCATGCTACTCTCCAGATGGCAACTGTAGAAAGTTCAAAATGGTGGTGTGAAATTTAACTTGGAAATTCCTTAATTCAAAATTTTATCTTTAGAAAAGTAAACATTTTCTAAAGATAAAAAAGTAGGCCGGGTGCAGTGGCTCACACCTATAATCCTAGCACTTTGGGAGGCCAAGGCAGGAGCATAGTTTGAACCCGGGAGTTTGAGACCAGCCTAGGCAACATAGTGGGATCCTGTCTCTACAAAAAATTTAAAACATTAAAAAAATAGCCAGGCGTGAGCTCGTGCCTATAGTCTCAGCTACTCAGGAGGCTGAGGTGGGAGGATCACTTGAGCCCAGAAGATCAAAGCTGCAGTGAGCTATGATCATGCCATTGCACTCTAGCCTGGGTGACAAAGCAAGACCCTACTTCACAAAAAAAAAAAAAAAAAAATTAGTAAACTGCAATTTAAGATTTGGGAATTGGCCGGGCATGGAGGCTCATGCCTGTAATCCCAGCACTTTGGGAGGCTGAGGCGGGTGGATCATCTGAGGTCAGGAGTTCGAGACCACCCTGGCCAACATGGTGAAAACTCGTCTCTACTAAAAATACAAAAAAAAAAAAAAATTAGCTGGGTGTGGTGGCGAGCACCTGTAATCCCAGCTACTTGAGAAGCTGAGGCAGTAGAATCACTTGAACCCGGGAGGCAGAGGTTGCAGTGAACCGAGATTATGCCACCACACTCCAGCCTGGGCGATGAGAGCCAAACTCTGGCTCAAAAAAAAAAAAAAAATTACCATTTCTACATTATTTTCCAATTTCGAAATTAACTTTGATTTACATATTTTGAGGAGTAGATCCTCTATGCTAACAACACAGTATTCAGAAGATGAAGGAAAAAAAAGGCTTCATGCCATGACTTCTGTTCCCGTTAGATGAAGTTTACTTTGCAGGTCTTAATTTAACTGAGCAACTTTAGTCTCTGTGGGTAATTCCCACTACACTCTTCAAATTTAATTTTTACCATCTCACTTCAAACTCCACAAAGCTGATACAGATGATGGTATTATTAAAATTGTTAAAGCACAGTTAGCATATGCAAATATTAACCAGCATTTGTAAACCACTTCTGATTGTTTTTTATTACTCCCAAAACAGAATATGAGTGCTACAAAAAGACAGTTAAATATACAGCCTTCAATTTGAAGACAATGGGATGAGACAGTGGACAAATGTCTCCTAACGCTAGACAGACAAGCGGCAGTTTGTTCAACTTGAAAGATTCTCCTCCATCCCTCTTACAACATTTAAGGTTAGAACTGAAGGACACAGAACTTCACAGAACTTGCAAAATCTCCTGGCCTCTAAAGCACTGCTGTGAGAAATAATCATCTAGCCATTAAGGACAAAGACTTACGGCAATTTGCTAAGTAATCTTTCAAAAGATTCATTCAAACTGGTTTGTCAATGGGAAAGAGCATTTAATAAATCTGAAGATTTACAAGTGAAATTTGAAGTTTAACATTACAAGGATAGAAATTATGTCAGGTTATACCAGAACAAATGAATTATAGGGAGATGGGAATAAATTTTAAGAGCCTTAGGGAGGATTAGTACTGTAAAAAGAAACTCAAGACTATCTTACTTTTACGTTCCCCTCAAAAGACTTTTAGGCAAAGACTGTCCTGTGTTGGTTTGTATTGAGCAATTACCAATATTAGTAAACAACTTGTAATGGTCACTAATTTTTAAAAAATAATTTAAAAAGTTCCTTAAGAGCCCTGACTCACTAGACACTTTTAAGATCCTAGATGTACATAGCTGATACAGCACAAATTATTTTGCCAATAATCTGCTCCTCTAGCAATGAAATGCTAGTATAGAATGTGACACTTTTCTTTGATCTAAATCCTAAAACAGTATAATTATTTTGATGGAAAATCATGATACCCAGACACTGCCAAGAAAATGAAAATAATACCAGGACAGATTACAAGAGATCAAAGTTTGGAAGACCACAAACTCTTTTATGAGAATCTACAACATAGCAAGAGACTGTAAGGGAAAATAAATTATATTTCAAAAGTGAAGCCCTGCTACAAAAAGAAAATGCACTTTATTTACATTGATAAAACCTGCCAGAGCTTTAAAGTTGCTGAAGATACTGCTGAGAAAAGCTAAACTGAACTGCAGATTACCTCAAAGCACACTGTTTTCATGTGTTGTGTAGGTTATCATTAGAGTTTGCAGACAAGCTCTTTTAAGATGTTGTAGCCACTGCTCCAACTAAAACATACACATTAAGCAGGTCATCAGGAGCAAAGGAAAACCTTGAACAATTTTGCAAGCTGATGGTACCACTGAAAGAACAGGAAGGGATATAGAAAAGGCAGGTAAATTTTAACTTAAACAGTCCAGGTTTGAGTTTAGAAGAGGACAGCTTGGCAAAATTAATCAACCAGCCCATAGAATTTACAAACAGTAGATGGGTCAGGTCTAGATTCACATTCGATGCCACTTGCCAGCCAGAGGTTCAAATATATGTCTACATATTCCCTCCAGTGACTACTGCTGAGCAACTATTAAGTACAAGGTACAGTGAGGCACTGCAGTAGATACACAAATAAGGAAAACAAAAACAGTTCCTGTGCTCAAGAAGCTTACAATCCAGTAGAAGGCATGAAACAAACATATTCTGAGTGAAAATACATTTGAGACCCCTGATAGGGAGCGGTGGCTCATGTCTGTAATACCAGCACTTTGGGAGGCCGAGGTGGGTAGATCACCCGAGGTCAGGAGTTCGAGACCAGCCTGACCAACATGGCAAAACCCTGTCTCTACCAAAAATACAAAATTAGCCAGATGAGCTGGTGCATACCTATAATCCCAGCTACTTGGGAAGCTGAGGCAGGAAAATCGCTCGAACCCAGGAGGCGGAGGTTGCAGTGAGCTGAGATCGCACCACTGCACTCCAGCAGCCTGGGCAACAAAAGCGAAACCCCGTCTGAAGAAAAACAAAAAAAAGAAGAAAATACTTTTGAGACCCCTAAGAGAGGCTGGAGAAGATGTGGAGTTGCAACCCTATTTTGTTTAAAAACACATATAGGAACAACAGTATTCTAAAACTGGTAATGCTCCTGAAAGGAGAGTTAAAATACCAGCCGATTAGTAACATTTCACAAATGAAGAAGGATGCCAAAAATCTCAAATAAGAAAAAAAAAAAAAAATCACCAGCTCTTTGGCACAAAACCTGCTCCTCAATGCTCCACTGAACACTACAAGTCCCTAAAGCTGAACTTAAAAGCATGTGACAGCTGTTGATTGGTTATAGGAATCCACAGGAAAAAAATGCACCCCTTGGGTGCATGACATGCATCTTATCTGTGGAACAAGGCATGTTCTACAGTGAGAGGAGGTAAAAGAAAAGAAAACGTATACGATAGCATTCTGAAAAGTATGACGTGGAGCTAGACAAATGCAAGACCCACTATCGGTTTTAAAGCAGAGTTCTGATGCAGCACCCATCCCTCCCAAATTTAACTGTTCATGCACTGAACAAGCTATCCATAAACTATCAATACTTTTCTGTCTTAAAGGCATTTCACCACCAAAAGGGAATGTAAATTAACTCAATTCTGAAAAGAAAGGCAATCTGAAAAACACCTTTTTGGTGAAAATTATACTTAAGTAAATATTAAAGAGCACCCAACTAGACCCCCACAAATTCCTAACCAGTTGAAAGTTATGTGCAATTCTACACCTTTATATGTTAATATGAAAACTCTGATATACCAAGCCTCTCCTTCCTAACACCTCTACGTATAGTTTTACTTTGCTATTATAACTGAATAGGAATCTTTAACTACACCAAAAAGCCTGACTATAATGCTAGCAGGAAAAAAAAAAGCTAACGGGTAAGCAAACACTCAAAAAAAAAAAAAAAAGACTGGAGGAATAGGATGATAGGATGGATACCTAATAAAACACAAATGTCCCCCATTCATCTGCAATTCTAGTCATTTTCTCTCTAACAGATCTCAGATTTTCAGAACAAGTATGCAGGTTATTTAAAACTGAGTTATATATAGTCATTTAGCAGCAGCAAAAACACTTCTGGCATTATCACAGATGCTAGCTTTCTGGAGGAATTTTTTCCCCCCAAACTAGCGTTTTTCTTCACCAAGAACCAACCATCCTTTATTTCTAAAAACAAGAGCCCTTTTCTGCCCCCTAAAACAAACAAATCACAGACCACAGTTAATGAAACTACGCTAATGAAACTGTGAGATTACATCCCAGGCGTTGTCAGAGCCTATTTTTCATACACCACCACAAGACAGTTTGATGCAGTATTCCTGATTGCTTTTTATAGTATTTGTAAATACACTCGCTAATCCACTAAATTAGGTAATTTACAAACAGGTCCTCTCAGTTATTAGTGGCCAGTAGTCGAGTTCTATTACATTTGATCCTCGTACAGTTGTCTAAACATTTCCACCCAGGTTAAGGGCTCGGATCCGAGAGAAGGAGGTTGGCGAAATTTGGATGGGGGCAGGGTAGAAGCTGAGAGAAATCTCTGCATCTCAGCCCTCAGCGACAACATTCAGCCAGTGCCCACAGAAAAACTAAATTCGGAACCTCTTCCTCCTGTTACACTGGCAACAAAGAGGGAGTTTCCGTAGCGCTCCCGTCACCCACCAGGTGCCCAATCTCCTTCCCAGCCCAGAGTCGGCGCTCCCGCAGGGGCCTCCGAGTGCGGGGAGGCCGCGGGGCCCGGGTCACGGCACTAAGGGGGGATGGGGTGCAAGCGAGCAAGCGAGGTCTGCGGAGCGGGCCGTGGAAGGGCTCCGGGACCCGCTGAAACCATCTGAACCCAGCCAGGGGGCAGCGGGCAAGAGAAAAGGGACAGAATATCTAATGAAGCAGAAACTGGAATTCGGTGGGAGAGGTGAAGAGCTCTTGCTGGGGGTACACCTGCGAGGAGCACAGAAAACGGGCGGCGGATGGCGGGGAGACTCCACGGAGGTGGAAGAGAGGAGCCAGGCCCGGAAGAACAGGGAAGGGGATGCCACCTGGGGCAGAGGAGGCGCCAGTGCAGCCTCTACCTGCAGGCGGGCGGGACGGGCAGCTCAGGTGTGACTGGGAGGAGGGGGCCGACTGGGGAAGGGGCCGGGAAGAGCTGAGGGCGCACTAGGCGCCGCGCAGAGGCGCCTTTGAGTCGGCAGCCGCGGAGCCAGCGCACGGGCATCGGCGGGACCCGGCGGACGGAAAGGCGGAGTGGGGGTCTTTGGACTGCACGGTGCGCTCAGGGGAGGCTGGGGACAGCGAGAGGTATCGGGCGGCGGGCGCCCGCCGCGCGACGCGGCGCACGGGAGGCATCCGGGCGGGCGGCCGGGAGGCGGGAGCCCCTCACCTGCGCGGCGGAGGAGGCGGAGCTGCAGCAGCCCATGGCGGGGCCGAAGGAGCCCGGAGGCGGCGCCGGGCGCGCAGCTACGCCCCGGAGCCCCTCGGCATGCGAGCCGGCGGGCGCCCGGGGAGGGCGCGGCCTGGCACCGCACGGCTAGGCGGCGGCGGCGGCTGCAGCGGCGGCTGGTACTCAAGAGGCGGCGCGGCTAGAGGCAGGCGCCGGCCACATCCCCCGGCGGCGGCGACGGCGGCTACGCGTCTCCTGCTCTGCTCCTGCTGCAGCAGCTGCTCCCCAGCGGAAAGGGGCGGGCGGCGGCGGCGGCGGCGCCTCCCTCTGTCCCCCCGCCTCCCGCCTCCCGCGCCCAGTCCCTCTCCCGCTCCCTCTCCCGGGCCGCCGCCTCCTCAGCGCCGCGCGCGTCTCCCATCAGACTCCCCGCCCCCAGTGCAGCGCCGTGCTGGTGGCAGGGCGGCGGCAGCCAGAACAAGGCCGGGCCCTTCCGCGCGTGTCAGAGGCTGCGCGGCGCCGGGCTTATTTAGCTGTGGCACCGAGGCAGCTCTCTGCCTCGAGGCTGGAGGGCAACGCGGTCTGAGGCAGCCAAAGACCGGGCCAACTCGCTGCCAAAAAGGGGCCGGATTGCTTCCGGATCTAGGAGGCAAGCGGGACTTCTCCCTCTCCCTACTGGACGCACAACTCAGGATCCTGATGGCTTCTTACCGCCCCGTCGGCTGTTTTTTTTCTCCAGAGGAAAGCGTACACAAGAAACCTTTCCTGGAGAAGGAATAGGTGATAAGAAGACGGGAAGAAACAAGCATCTGTTGCTACTGTCCCCATTTTGCTGATGTGGAAACTGAGGCTTGAAAGGGACCAAGAACCTAATGAAATGTTCCCAAGGTTGAAATGGTAATAAATAGCCAGAAATGAGGAAAAGGCAAAAAGTTATCCAGGCTCGCAAGTCAAAGCCATACTGGATCTAAGCTAAACTTTCTTATACAGGATAGTCTACAAAAAACAATAAGGGGACATTAATTTATTCATATTAAAAATACTTACTGAAGACACACTACGTTCCAGTGACTAGTACTGGGAATAAAGAGGCGAGCAAAAGAGACTTACCAAGTTCCTGTTGCTAAATCAGTAAGACTCAAGGAAGTAGCAACAAGTTAGAGTAGACGTGGTAACTACCTTCAAGAAATTTACAATTCCAAACGAGTCGTTAGGAAATACAGTATGAGGTGAAAACAGTTAAAAAGTGAAAGAAATAAAACTAAAGATAATGATGTTAAAAAAAACCCCACATTATCAGGCACTGTTATAGCCTTCATATGTCATTTCATCTTGTCAAAGAATGTCTCAAAAGACAGCCACAGGAAAGAAAAGAAAAACTTTATTTGCAAAGCTGCAAGGGAGTGAGACTTCCAAAAGGACTGATTCACCAAATATGAGACATCAAGTTTTAAAGATTAGTTAAAGTATAGAGGGAAGAAAAGAACACAGAATTAAATTGACTTTACATGCACTGAAAGGGAATCTAAGCCAAGGAAAGTTGGAATGGTAGCCTGTAAGGGGACAGCTACAGAAAGGGCCAGGGAAGAAGAATTCCTAATTGATGTTTTCCTATGCCATTTCCTGAGTTCGTGACTGTGGACGAGTTATCTCTCCAAATCTCATTGTCCGCTTCTGTGAAATGCTGGTAGCAGGGATGACTGCAAAGGCTTGTGGTCAAGATTAAATAACATAAGAAAGTGCTGCTAGGTCAGCAAGTACTCAACTGATTGAGATCTTGAATTCTTCTGCATTCTTTCTAGTTTCCTTTCAGGTTAATCAGAGGGTCCACCATACCACGGAGCTGGCGAATCCTACATGTGTTTCCCATAACCATTAAACCAATAAATACAAGTGAAGACATAAAACTAATGGTTCTAGTCCCAATTCTGGTTGTAAACTCCAGAATTAGATTGTAAACTCCCTGAGAACAAGGAAAAGTATTTTCTCCTTTGTATCTCCCTCAGCTCTCTCAAATGTTTGTTGAATTATTCAGTGCAGCCAAGAATAAAAAACATTCCCTTGAGATTTTCCCTCAAAGCCAGAAAAGTACATCTTGTTTTTAACTCGGGGAGGAGGCTGAAAGTAAAACTACAGTCCTAAACAAGAAGCCATCTGTCTTCCTTCTTTATAGTCAAGGAAAGGGGAGTTGTTTCTCTTTGCAGAGTCAATATGGGAGCATTTCTCTCAGATTAGAAAAATCTTTTTGGCTAGTGCTGCCGTTCCGTGTAGTAGCTAGTGCTTATTCTGTAATTGGAACTGTAGAAGGAGATAAATGCGTAACAGACTGTGGCAGTGCTTCATAAAATGTATTTTGCTTTTTTAGAGATCTCTTTCCTAGACATAGATAATGGGTGAATATAATTGAAAGCAACTACAGTCCGTTGTGCTTGACTGATCTGCACTCTGGTTTTCCCTTTAAGTGTTAATAGAACTAAGAGTTCTAAGATTCTGCAAGGTGCTTTGTAAATACACCAATTATGTATGTATGCACCATATATGCATATGAATCTGATGTTTCAAAATTATACTTCGTCATTAGCATGAGGGAAACTAACAGCTCTTGCATTGATATGCTGTACCTTCTAAGAATGAGTCTCTTTCCCATCCCCCTCATGCCCAAAAAAAGCCTCGTAAAAGGAGTGATTTAGAGAGGGGCAAATTACTATTCCTTTTCACTCTTATAAACAAGTACACACAGCATTCAATGAAATTAAACCACAGCAAACTCAGAAATCACAAAAGGGATTTTTTTTTTCTTAAGCCAGTGATCAGGGTACTTATCTACTATGGTGAGATGTTACCAGGGCAAGCCCCTTCGTAGGGGCTTAGGTTGTTTTTCTTTTTCTTTTGGGAGAAAGGAGGTTTTTAGAAACTTATGTAAAAACCATCTGCGCTAACCAGGATAAAATTATAAGGTCTATCAATCTTGGTGCTGCAGGGTAAAATCGGATCACCAGCTGAGCCAGCCAGAAATGCTTCCCAGTGGTCTGGTATTGCATAATTGGCTGTGTGAATTCCAAGGGTTCCAGCTTCAGGTGGAGGTCTTGGTGCTGGTCACTCACTGAGGGAAAACATTGAATTAATGGTCTTTCCAATGATTTTTATGAAGCCTGACTTCTTGTTCACATGATTTCAGGTTTTGGGGTAACAGAAATACAAATGCGTCTCTACATGTATATGTCTATAACTGCTCAGAATAGTCCTCTTAATTTAAAAACCGTGGCATTTGGTGCTGTGGCTGTGTTATTTACATTTTAGCACATACTGTGCTCACAGTCACATCCCACAAGAGCTTATTTGCTTCAGCAGAGCCCTAGCTTCCAGATTTGCCTCACAACCTCTTCCTCCTGAGCATTCACATATCACCCCAGGGAGATGCTCCAAAAGCCAAAACTAATTGTAACCAAGGGCTGTAACTGTTCATTCATTGCCAGAGAGGCAAGAGCAGTCTCTATTTGAGAAGGTAGAAATGTATCTCAGCCTCCCAGTTAAACCAGAAGTTAGAAATCCACTTTACCTGAAGAGAGCTTTCCCTAACTCAGGCATGCAACAGAAAAAGACAACATTGTATTCAGCAAGACTGGCAATTCTTAAGTCCTTAGCTCTGCAACTTTGTTTCTGGTCACACTTGTAAGTTGATGTTCCTCCAATATTTATTAATAACTCTGGCTTTTATTTGTGGTTTCACTTGGATTTTTGTTGCAAGATCAAACAATGTATGAATTCTCTTTAAAATGCTTGTTATAAACTTGTGTTTAGAGGGGTGTATCTTCCTCCTACTACTTTTCTGAATGACTTTTTTAAACATTGTAGTCATTCAATTCATTTAATAATTTTTATATTGACTGCTTTCTATGAGCTAAGCATGTTCGATTTTGATTAAGTAGCCTGTGCTCATGCATCAGTTCTCAGGGATTTGAGCTGTTTCCAACATAAAATTAGTGTTGGTTTTTCATTTTGGGATGCTGGGATGAGGAAGGAGAGGAAATGGAAGCAGGGTGATGAGTATTAATTTGAGAAGGAAAGAAGAAATTTGTAAAGTAGGGAAATCTATTTATTTAACAGTGCATGTCTTGAGCCATTATAATGAACCAAATACCTAGCTGGGTGCCTGGGATTCAAAGACGAAGTACACTCCTTGCCTTTAGATCATTCTTAAGGGGTGGAAAGATATTTAAACCAAGAACAGAGTATAGTTTAAATGTAATGAAAGGGAAAAGTCCACATACTATATAAGCGTAAAGGAGGTCCACAAAGATTGATTTTTTTTTTTTTATTTAAAAAATGCTGTTACATTTTTTTCCCTATTAACCCTTTCTTACTTCCACTAGACAAGTTCCCACTGTGTACCAAAAGCCTAGAAAACAGTTTGGTATCCAGGAATGTTTCATAAATATTTATTCAATGAATGAATGAATTTTGTCAATGAGTCCCTAGGAATTTAGATTTATAAATGCCTAGAATGTCTCAAAGGAAAGCTTATCTTAAATATTAGATTACTACTTTTTAAAATACTTGTTGTTGCTGTTGTTTTACTGTAAAACTTCTGGTATAAAATAGGTTTATTTTTCTGGCTGGGCACAGTGGCTCATACCTGTAATCCCAGCACTTTGGGAGGCTGAGGCAGGCAGATCTCTTGAGCTCATGAGTTCAAGACCAGCCTAGGCAACATGGCGAAATCCTGTCTCTACAAAATATACAAAAATTAGCCGAGCGTCGTGGTGTGCATCTGTAGTCCCAGCTACTCAGGAGGCTGAAGATGGGAAGATGGCTTGAGCCTGGGAGGCAGAGGTTGCAGTAAGCCAAGATGGCACCACTGCACTGCAGCCTAGGCAATAGAGCCAAATTTTGTCAAAAAATAATAATAATAATAATTTTTCTAATATTGGAATTATAAAAGGCTTTTCTTTGGATAACACTAACCTAATACCATAGTAAAAGACAGATAGGATTAACTACATAAACATTTTAAAACTCCTACATGCAAAAGATACTACAAAATGAATACAAATGACAAAGAGATAAATAATACTTGCAAAGTCTATGTAAAGGTTTACATAATACACAAGAAGCTCCTATTTAAAACCAAAAGAAAAAAGAAAAAAAAACCCACTCCACAGAAATATGAGTAAAGGACATAACAGACAAAATCCACAGTGAAAGAAATACAAGAACTAATAAAACGTGAAATGTTGCTCAGCCTTACTAATAATAAAACTGTAAGCTTAAAAATTAGGAGACATCATTCCTCACCTAGCAAATTGGCAAAGATTTAAAAGCTTAATAATAACCAGTGTGAGAGAAGGTCACAGTACTCTATACATGATTAATGGTGATATAAATAGTTACCCTCTTTCTGGGGAGAAGTTTAAGAATTTGTATCAAAATGTAAAAGGTGTATTCTTTTAACCCAGCAGTTCTTACCCTGAGAATATCCAACAGCAATACAGTTTTGTTTTTAATAAGGACAAATTGAGAGAAAACTAAATTTCCATAAACAGAAGATTGGTTAAGTAATTGCTTAAATAATAGGAAGCACTATGCAACTGTTAAAAAGTAAGAGCAATCTGTATTTAATGACATGGGCTATGCATAACTAAAATATACCATCAACTAAAAACAGTAGTTTACAAAACAGGATTATGATGGAATCCTGTTCATGTCAATCGTTGTGTGTGTGTGATGTAAACTGTGTGTGCACAAGCACGTGTGTGCATGTTTGTGTAGATGAGGTTGTGAGGAATATGTACCAATCTGTTAACAGCAGTAACCTTTGGAGAAGAGGTGGGGATAAATCGTGGTGAAATAGAACCAGACAGAAGAGAGACATGTTCTGAATTATAACTTTTGAATTTTTTGTAGTTTTGACAAAAGCATGTACTTAAAAAAACTATATTTAAATATTTTAATATTATAAAACATTTTATTTTATTAAGGACAGGGAGGGGGTTCTCCTGAATGACCTGTTAATCATGAAGAACATATACAGTGTCCAGAGTACAGGGAAAGAACAGGTCACAAATGCAATGATTAGGAAAGGCTTCATAAATTGTGTTTCAGCTGGTCCTTAACACGTAGCTTTGGATAAGTGAAGATGATGGGAGAAAAAGAGAACTCTCAGGTATAAAATGACTTAAGCAAAGGTGCAGGCTTAGAAATCAATAAGATCTATTGCATGTTCCAGTTATCTGTTGTTGTATCCCAAACCAAACTAAAACTTGATGACTTAAAACAACAGCAGTCATCAACTCTCACCATTGGGGGAACAGAGTAGGCTCAGCTAAGCGGTTCTCGCTTGAGGGTTGTCAGGTGATTGCAGTTAGCTATGAGGCAGGAGTTATCTTGAAGTTTACTCATGCCCGGAGGTTGATACTAACTGTTTGCCATCAGCCAGAATACCTACTTGGAGCCTTGCCACATGACCTGGGTTTCCTCACAGCTTGGTAGCTGAGTTCTAAGGGTGAGCATCTTTTTTTTTTAATTATTTTTATTTTTATTTATTTTATTATTATTATTTTTTTGAGACAGTCTCACTGTCACCCAAGCTGGAGTGCAAAGGCACAATCTGGGCTCACTGCAACCTCCACCTCCTGGGTTCAAGCAATTCTCCTGCCTCAGCCTCCTGAGTAGCTGGAATTACAGGCACCTGCCACCACACTTTTTGTATTTTTAGTAGAGTCAGGGTTTCACCATGTTGGCCAGGCTGGTCTCAAACTCCTGATCTCAGCTAATCCACTTGCCTCGGCCTCCCAAAGTGCTGGGATTACAGGCGTGAGCCACCACGCTCGGCCAGGGTGAGCATCTTTAGAGGACCAGACTAACACTGCATTACCTTTTACTTATTTATTTATTTAATGTTATTATTATTATTATTTTGAGACAGAGTTTTGCTCTTGTTGCCCAAGCTGGAGTGCAGTGGCGTGATGTTGGATCACTGCAACCTCCACCCCCTGGGTTCATGTGATTCTTATGCCTCAGCCTCCCAAGTAGCTGGGATTACACGCATGTGCCATCACGCCTAGCTAATTTTTTGTATTTTTTAGTAGAGATGGGTTTTCACCATATTGGCCAGGCTGGTCTTGAACTCCTGACCTCAGGCGATTTGCCCACCTCAGCCTCCCAAAGTGCTGGGATTACAGGTGTGAGCCACCGTGGCCAGCCTGCATTACCTTTTATAACCTGGCCTCAGGTAGCACATAGCATCACTTTTGCTATAGGCACGGGCCCATTCAGATTCAAGGGAAGGGACCATCGGTGCTCTCCAAACCCTACCCTTGAGGAATTATCAATGTCACACTGTAAGAAGAACATGTAGGTTGGGAGATCTTGGCTTGAGCTCTTCTGTTTGTCACAGTTTCAAACACTCTCTAAAGTCTCTTCTGACAGGGGCCAGTTTTTCCTATCTACATTACCCTCTGGCATTCATAGGCCTTGGAATTTGTACCTCCTAACAGATAAGAGAAATTCAGAGGGTTTTGAGTAAAGTAGTAATACGGTAGGCTTTTTGCTTTAAAATGATCACTATGGTGGTATCTTACAGGGAGGACTAAAGGGAGGAAAGCTTAAACAATAAAAACAGTAGGTGTTAGAGCTATGCCCCTACTCATCAACTCTCCAATTCAGAAAAATGGTGCCTAAGTATGATTGACAGGAGTCTTCCATATTCCTTACCAAAGCCTTCAGTCTTCGGAATGCTTTCAGTGGGCCTCAATTCTTATAGAACCAGATGCTCTGTGCCTGGCAGGAAATTACTAGGCCTTGGGAAGTAATTGAACTTTTTGAGAATACCAAGGTACCACTTCGGGGATACTAACTGATATTTCTCCCACTGAGCAAAGGACATAGACTCCTTGGAAATTAAGCCTGACTTGACCACCAACTTACTCACTTCCCAAGTGCTCCAATAGTTTGTCTCCTAGTGTGGTGCTACAGAACAACATGGAGGAATGGGGAGGCAGAGCGGGCTACAGGGTCTGCACACATTGCTGGACTAGCAATTTGAAGTTTAGCTACAATCATTCCCAGCTTCCCTCAAGTCCTGTTAAGAGATTTGTGTAAGGCAATGAAAAGTGTACTATTGGCTTGGTTTTTGAAGTTTCTTTCCCTATTATTATTTTATTGGACAAACTGTCAAAATCCACCTGTTCTTTCTCAGAGATGTCCTTTCTTCCTTTTTCATTGGTGCTAGACAGAGTCGTTTTCCCTAATACTATGTAATTTAGGAGAGGCTGTGTCAATTGCATAAAATATTTCTAATCTCCATAATTAAGATGCTGCTGGTCTGACAGTTTTGCTCTCTTACTCCCCCTCAGCTAGTTGCAGGGATGTAGAAAGACATTTTAAAAGAGTACTAAAGCAAAAATGACATGCTGTTCCCCTC
Organism: Homo sapiens; assembly: GCF_000001405.40. Taxonomy (NCBI): domain Eukaryota; kingdom Metazoa; phylum Chordata; class Mammalia; order Primates; family Hominidae; genus Homo; species Homo sapiens. The sequence continues at coordinate 105,236,485 of NC_000009.12, read as the reverse complement.
CCAAAGGGCCTGCTCATGACTGTCACTAGCTTCCCTATGCTCCTTCCTGGAGAGTTTCATTTATGGCTTCCTCAAAAGTAGGAAAGAGAAACTATGCTAAGGTTCTCCAGACCGTCTTCTCTCCATCCCCCAAAAATGTATACCCTGTCTTCAGTTTAAATTCAGGAGAAATCCAGATTGTCCCTTCTTTTTCTTGCTCTGTCTCCCAGGCTGGAGTGCAATGGCACGATTTTGGCTCACTGCAACATCCGCCTCCCAGGTTCAAGCAATTCTCCTGTCTCAGCCTCCCAAGTAGCTGGGATTACAGGTGTGCACCACCATGCTCGGCTAACTTTTTTTGTGTGTGTATTTTTAGTAGAGACAGGGTTTCACCATGTTGGCCAAGTTAGTCTCAAACTCCTGACCTCAAGTGATCTACCTGCCTCAGTCTCCCAAATTGCTGGGATTACAGGCATGAGCCACCATGCCTGGCCCTGGTTGTCCCTTCTTATAGACCACTCTTGAGGTCAATTCCCAGCACAGCATTTGACAGAGAATAATCACTGATAAATCTGGGTTGAACACCTGAATAACCAAATTCTGAGGTAAAGAGAAATGTAGAGTTGAGAAGTAGCAGGACATTGCAGTTGCTGGCACAGAATCTTTGAAGATCATGTAGTCCAGTTTCCTATAATTTTGGGAAAAAAAAAACAGATAACAAGTCACCAAGATTGCCATATATTCAACTTTTTTCTTACCTCTTGGTAGACTGATAATGTATTCAGGTATAACATATAAAAGTCCTGCTTCATCCTTACAGTAAGTCTATTAAGTAAAAATTATTATTACTATTTTAGAGATTAGTCAAATGAGATATAAAAATAGTCTTGATAGACTGTATTATGCTGCTATAACAAACTAATTCTCAAACCTAGGTGGTTTAATAGGAGAAAGTTTATTTCTCCCTCATAGTATGTATGACACAGCAGTTGGTCCAGAGGGAGAGATGGCAATAATACTGTCTGCTTTACATAGTCATTCAGGTGTCCAGGCTTATGAAGTCTCTAAGATATTGTATTTTATTTTTTTGAGATGGAGTCTCACTCTGTCGCCCAGGCTGGAGTGCAGTGGCACGATCCTGGCTCACTGCAACCTCCACCTCCCAGGGTTCAAGCGATTCTCCTGCCTCAGCCTCCTGAGTAGCTGGTATTACAGGTGCATGCCACCATGCCCTGCAAATTTTTGTATTTTTAGTAGAGACAGGGGTTCGCCATGTTGTCCAGGCTGGTCTTGAACTCCTGGCCTCAGATGATCCACCTGCCTTGGCCTCCCAAAGTGCTGGGATAACAGGCATGAGCCACCGCGCCCAGCCTTCTAAGGTATTTTAGCTGCACCCTGTGTAACTTGAAGTCTTCTAACCCTCTCTCTGCAAGAAGAGAGTGTTGGATAATTACCCATGGAATTTTTACTGCCTCAGCCTAGAAATGACACATACCACTTTTGGTTGCATTTTACTGGTTAGTAGTAGTCACATGTCCTCACATTGTCAAAGGGGGATGAAATGTAGAAGAAGTGGATTATTTGGTAAGCATTGCCATTGTCACTGCTCCAAGAGATAATTTGTACACTGTCCAATAGCTATTAAGTAGCAAGGTTAGCGTCCAAACTCAAGCTGTCTGATGCCATAGTCCATGTGATTTCTTTTCATAACTTGATAATGCCATGTTGGACATGGAAGTGGCCATAGTGTGGAGAGGCAACTGTAGCATGATGGGAAAAGCCCTAGACTTGAGACAATTGAGCTAACATATCCATTTTACCATCTACTAGTTATGAGACCTTGGGCAAGTCCCTCAGCCTCTGCTAAAAGCAATTTTTCGCCAGGCACAGTGGCTCATGCCTGCAGTAGTAGCACTTTGGGAGTTCGAGGTGGGAGGATCGCTTGAGCCCAGTTCAAGACCAGCCTGGGCAACATAGTGGGATCTCATCTGTACAAAAAATTTAAAAATTAGCCAGCATGATGGTGCATGCCAGAAGTCTCAGCTACTCTGGAGGCTGAAGTGGGAGGATTGCTTGAGTCCAGGAGGTTGAGGCTGCAGTGAGCTATGATCATGCCATTGCACTCCAGCCTGGGTGACAGAGTGAGACACTGTCTCAAAAAAAAAAAAAAAAAGCACTTTTTCTATCTATAAAATAGGAACAAACAGAACTCTCATGAGACTGTTGTGAAGGTAAAAGTATGAGAGCCTTCAGGACATGTAACACACCCTCAATGAATGTTGAGGTCTGAATTCTTATTTATTCTTCTAGCCCCTCTTTCTGCCAACACAAGTACCTTCCTGGAAATGTAAGGCCTTCCATAGTGAGACTTTCTGCTGAAAGTTCTAGTTGAAATTTTGCCAGAGAAAAGATTTAGTAACCTGATCCCAACACTTCCCAGCATTTAAATTCTGATTCTATTACCAGACCTTTTCCTGATATCAGCAATTTTCTTCATGTGTTGCCAACCACAACTCATTCATGACTTCAGGGGAAAGGAAAGGATAATGTCACATTGGAATTAAAAGTTGTGGCTTGAGAGCAGTCTTGCATTTAAAAACACTGTAAATGTTGGCACCTCTCTAGGAAGTAAATGTCAAGGCACATGTAATACAGAGTGAGCACCAGTGCCTTCAGGTATTAACCTATTGAGAAAGCCCATTTGGCTCATTATTACATCCTTGTCTCAACTCCAAAAATAGATCCTCTTTATTATTTTAACATTATTTAGAAAAAAATTAAATTTCTATTATGTGACATGAGAAAATGCCTTTGTTAGAAGGCTAATGGGCCTTTTTTTTTTTTTTTTTTTTTTTTTTTTTTTTTTTTTTTTTGTCCTGAGAAAGGAAAGTAAATTGCTTCCTATGGAAAGGTGCATAAACTCCTTCACGCCCCTGGGTAATTGCTTAGGAGAGTATTGGTACAGATAATTGACAATCTAAAAACCGAGGTTCTTGGCAAAAGTAATGAACTTCCTTGAAGCAAGTCTCCTTTTTCAAAATGAACCTGAAGCTCAAAAACCTTTATTCCTCACTTTGCCTTTGTTGTTAGCAACTCAAACATCTTGACGCACTGGTTACAATCTTGGGCTTAGGAGTGAGACAACTGTGGGACTGATAACCAGTCCAGCAAATTCTAGCTATGGGACCCTGCCCAAGCTACAGAAGTTCTCAGAACTCCTCATCTATGACATTGCATCATGATTATTAAATGAGGGAGAGCACTTTGCAAGGTTACAATGGTGTGTCTGGCATGCTTGACACGAGAATGACAAAACTATTAACAGTAATCATCATTTTCTTATTCTTTAGTTAGAAGCAATGAACAATTTAAAATAATACATTTCAATTTTTAAAAATGAAAATGTATGTTTTGTATGAACTGAAATGTATACTGTCTAAAGGTATTACACCTTGCAGTTTATACTGTTTCACTTTTTAAATTTTTAAACCCAAATTAAATGTACAAATTGTCATATAGCATGATTAAATTGAATTAATCCAGTTTTACTTCTTCGTCTTGAGAAACACCGTGCTATCATTATTTATGTCTACTGTTTAAGTGTAGAGATATATTGTACTACAGGGATTTGGGACATGAACAATGACCTCAATGAGTTTGAACAGTTCCTAACCATTATGAACTTACTCTTGAAGCAAGCCCATGCAGCCATGTCCACGTGTGTCTGGGTGGATGCATAACTAGTGGTTGTCTGGATTTGTTTCCATGTAGAATATAATGCTTGGTAAGACATAAGTAATGTTTGCTAATTTGAAGCATATATATACACACATATAAATATAAGTATTAGATATATATAATATATATCTATAAGTATGTATATATACACACACACCACATTATTAAAATTCAATAGTTTTGAAGGTAGATCAACCAAATTTTTTTTTAAGGAAGAGTATTTTTATTACTGACATTGCTTTTTGTTTTGTTTTGTTTTCTCATTTGGGGTCTTGTTCTGTTGCTCAGGCTGGACTGCAATGTTGGGATTACAGGTATGAGTCACTGTGCCTGGCCAACATTGTTTAAAATTATGGGCACATGGTGATAATAAAAAGCAGACAAATGAGGTTTTATTGCTTTTTCACATTGTCTGCAGACAATTCACCCCCTATTGTTGCACCAGACTAGGCTCTTCCACTGCTCTGCCCTTGGAATACCAGTGCATAGTTCCTGGCAGATAGTAAGAATTGCATACCTGTAAACTACTATTATTTCACTACAGGTCTTTTAAAACTTGAGAGGTTCCTAGAATTTTACTTTTTTCTTTCTTTTCTTTTCTTTTTTTTTTTTGCAGAGAGAGAAACAATGACATGGAAATATTACTTAATTCCCCAATAAAGAAGTAGTATTATCAGGCCAGGTGCGGTGGCTCACGCCTGTAATCCCAGCACTTTGGGAGGCCAAGGTGGGTGGATCACCTGATGTCAGGAGTTCGAGACCAGCCTGGCCAACATGGTGAAACCCCGTCTCCACTACACATACAAAAATTAGCCGGGTGTGGTGGCACATGCCTGTAGTCCCAGCTACTTGGGAGGCTGATGCAGGAGAATTGCTTGAACCTACAGTGAGCTGAGATTGCACCACGGCACTCCAGCCTGGGCGACAGAGTGAGACTCCATCTTGAAAAAAAAAAGAAAAAAGTAGTATTATCTTTAAAAAATTTTTTTTCTGTGATAATAGTTTTGGTGCCTTTTAATTTAGAAAATATACAAAAGTGTTTTTAAAAGTAAACAAAAGAGGCTGGGCAAGGTAGCTCAAGCCTGTAATCCCAGCACTTTGGAAGGCCGAGGTGGCAGATCACTCCTTGAGGCCAGGAGTTCCTAACCAGGCTAGCCAACATGGTGAAACCCTGTCTCTACTAAAAAATAAAAAAAATTAGCTGGGCATGGTGGCACATGCCTGTAATCCCAGCTACTAAGGAGGCTAAAGCACGAGAATTGCCTGAACTCAGGCAGCGGAGGTTGCAGTGAGCCGAGATAGTGCCCCCGCACTCCAACCTGGGCAACAGAGTGAGACTCTGTCTCCAAAAAATTAAAAAAATGTAAAAAGAGGTATACCAAAGACAATAAAACCCCCTATAGTCATGCTATCCAAAAGACAAAAATAACTATCATTTATTGATTACTCTATCTCAGGAGTCCTACATTCATTCCATTTATTTTAATCCTTCCTGGGAACCTATGAAGTAGTTTCAGGTTTTACATTTTTCTTTTCTTTTTTTTGAGACAGAGTTTCGCTCTTGTTGCCCAGGCTGGAGTGCAATGGCGCGATCTCGGCTTACTGCAACCTCTGCCTCCCGGGTTCAAGCGATTGTCCTGCCTCAGCCTCCTGAGTAGCTGGGATTACAGGCATGCGCCACCTCGCCCGGCTAATTTTGTATTTTTAGTGGAGACGGGGTTTCTCCATGTTGGTTAGGCTGGTCTCCAAATCTCAGCCTCAGGTGATCCACCCTCCTTGGCCTCCCAAAGTGCTGGGATTACAGGCATGAGCCACCGTGCCCAGCCACATTTTTCATATTTTTTTTTAGAGGAGGTTACTGAGTCCTATAGAAGTTACAGAAGTAGCTCAAGGTTGTAAACCTGAGCTTGTAAGTGGCAGGCCAGGATTCAGACACAGCTCTGTTTGACTGGAAGCCTAATCTCTTAACAACTCTGCTGTTTTACAACAACTCTGTGTTCCCCGCTGACCATTATTAATATTTTGGTGTTTGGCCTTTCAGTTTATTTTATGTGTATACGTATGTGTGTTTTCTAAATGTATATGTAGTTTTTTGAACAAAATTCGGATCGTGTTGTGTATAATGTTTTGTATCCTACTTTTTAACCTAATGTTACAGTGTAAGCATTTTCCGCATCTTATATAGGATTCAAAAGTATGATTTTCAATGGCTACATAATAGTCCATCATATGCTTTACCATAGCTGAACAAACAAATCCTCTTGTGTGGGACTCCACTTTGAATAAAGTTCTTAGAAATGTAGTTTGTTACAACCATTCTGAAAGTCAGTTTGGTAATATATCGTGAACTGTACAAAGCTCTTACCTTTATATCCTCGCTTCTAGGAGCTTATTCAAAGGAAATAAACAAAATTATGGTCAAAGATTTATGAATGAGGGTGTTTATCACGGTGATAGTAAAAACATATTTATGTGCATAGAAGAAAGATGAGAAGAAAATGATACATTAGCAATGTATCATTAGTTACTGGTATAACTTTTATTTACTGAGTTATTGATTATTTTTATTTTATTGCACTTTATTTTTTTATTTTTATTTTTTATTTATTTATTTTTTGAGATGGAGTTTCGCTCTTGTTGCCCAGGCTGGAGTACAATGGCGCGATCTCAGCTCACTGCAACCTCTGCCTCCTGGATTCAAGCGATTCTCCTGCCTTAGCCTCCCAAGTAGCTGGGATTATAGGCATGCACCACCACACCTGGCTAATTTTTTTTGTATTTTTAATAGAGACGGGGTTTCACCATGTTGGCCAGGCTGGTCTCGAACTCCTGACCTCAGGTGATCCACTCACCTCGACCTCCCAAAGTGCTGGGATTACAGGAGTGAGTCACTGCACCTGGTCTTATTGCACTTTAAATTGTATTTCTTATATATCTTTTAAAATGTTTATTATTTATTATATTTTTCAGTATTTTCTAAAATTCCTGTAATAAGCATGTATAACTTCTAAAAATTAAAAAGAAGTTATTTTTAAAATGTTGGTAATTTTTGGTGAATCTTCAACTCACCAATCGCTGAATCCTGATCTTACATACAAAGTTACAAAGTCTGATTAAAATGTTCTGTACAGCTCACGCTTTCCAACAATATCTGGTCTAGGCTGGAATTAAATGTCATTTTGTCTTCTCCCACGGTTCCTTTAATCCTCAACTGTTAGTGGCTTTTACTCCACCAACTCTTTGATTGCTCCCAACCTTACCAGGGTGAAGGCATTCATTTACTTCTACAACTGCTTGTTTTAAGGATAACCAATTTATTTCTCTCATTAGGAAATTAAAGAAATATTGACAAGCCCAACTTTTTCAGATCAGATGAAATTTTTTTTCTAACTTCAAAAAAAATTCCTTCTGTGTACTAGCTCTCTGAGAAATTTTGGACATGGTTAGCCGTTTCCATCACAAGCATAAGCTTCCTGTATGTCTGGGCAATGATATGTTAGCTGTTATCCTCAGCCAAGTCTGTTCACTTAGGACCCAGTTTTCTCATCTATAAAATGAAGACTTAAAGTCATTGAGCTGTAGGGTCTCTGCCTACTCTTAATCCTTAGGTAAAAACCCACCAGTAAGAGACTGAATGTTAGTTCTTTCTGGTCCCAATTCTGAAGGAGAATGTAAATGTAACATTAAATATAACTGAAGACAGAATAAGAAAACTAAAAATAGGTTAGAAGAAATTACTGTAAAAGAAAAATATACTGAGAGATATGTTTATTAAGGTAAGTATATCAATTCTCTGAATGATACCCAAGCAATGAGTTTAGTATAGAGGTTTAGTGTACTATTAAGGGAAGATGCTGAATTTAGAAATAAATAGGCCCTGAAAGGAGGCTTGACTCTGTCATTTATTAGCTGCATGGCCTTGAGCAAGTTATGTAAACCCATGGCTGCTTTTTAGAGTTTCTCTTTGTCTTGATATTCTGAAGTTTCTGTACAGTGTCCAGATGTGGATTTATTTTTGCTTATCCTGCTTGGGAATGGTTGGGATTTTTGAATCTGTGTGGGTAGTACCTTTTATTAGTCTTAGAAAATTCCTAGCAATTCAAAATTCAAATATTGCCTATAAAAGCAAAACAATATGACATCTGGGAATGGCTTTAACATATTTTAACAAAGAAGGAAATAAAAATAAAGAAAGAAAATAAACAAATGTGGCAAAATCTTGATAACTGTGAAGTCTGGGTAATAGGCATATACAGTTTATAGTACTATTATCTACTTTTTTCTTTCATGTATGCTTAAATAATTTTATAATAAAAAATAAAGAGCTATAAGAAAATTAACAACCATTCTGTCTCCTTCTCCTTGTGGAGCTTCAGTGGAGTGTACATCAGACCTTGTTCTACACTTCATGTCTCTGAATGCTCATAGTTTCCTTATTTTTATCTCTTGTGATATTGTGAATAATTTTTTCTAACCTACATTTAGTTTACTTATTCTGTCTTCAGTTATATTTAATGTTATTCAGTATTTAATTTTGGTTATTATAATTTGTATTTATAGACATTCATTTTGGTTCTTTTTCAAATTTGTTAGGTTACTTTATCCCTTATACTTTTTCTCCAGTCAGAAGTGAGCTTTCTCCAAGTATTAAAACACACACACACACAAACACACACACACACACACACACACACACACACAGACAACCTCCTTCCCCAGCTCTTAAAAAAATAGGCATAGTTGTTGTAAGTATGTTGTTCTATAGCCTAAGTCTCATAATTCCAACATCAGAAATATGTGAAAATCTGGTATATTTTCTATTTGTTCTGTGGTTTCTAAAAGTTCTTGTTCATGGTATCTTGCTTGTGTGCTTGATTATTTTTGACTGTGTGCTGCTTATTTATCTGAAAAATGATATGTGGGTTTTTTTTCTGGTCTAGGATAAAGGTGTTTTCCTCTAGAGTGGATACGTATTTGATTATTTGGTGTTCAAAGGCATTAACAATTCAGAACAATTTTTAAATAAATTCAGAAGCTGACAATTTTTTTTGACTAATCAAATTCAGTGATGTGTCTGTAGGCTGCAAATTTGAGTGATGATTAACTTGTCGAAGCTTTTCAGTCCTTTTCCCTCTCTCTTAGGCTTAGCAACAAGGTATTTTTCTTGTAGCCCTTGGAGTAGGGGAGAGGTATAAACCTTTGGTACCCTATCTTCATTGGAGTGAAGGGGTCCCTCCTTCGAGATTCTATTTGGGATGGAGATTGGCTTTGATTTCCTTCTCCCTTGCCATGGGAGGCTATCAGCACTCTGGGAAAAAAAGCAGCCTCAGTGTTTTCTCTTACCTTCCTGGAAAAAGATGAATGGTAAACGCTTCTAAGTTCCAATTTCTTCATATGTAAGATGAAGTTAATATTGCTTTACTTACAGAGTTGTGTGTTAAGCAAGATACAAAATGCCCTTTTTAAATTGTAAATTACAATATAAACTTACTCTGGAACCCAGGGCCCTTAAGGTTTGGGAAACCTCTTCAAGTTGCATGGATACATGAGGGTATATATATTTTTCTATGTGTGTTTCAGAGGGTGCTCATGTATCTAATGAGTTTCAAATAATCCATTGACCACCAAAAATTTTTAAAGCGTTTGAAAATGGAAATTATTATTTGAAATCAAATAAGTACAGGAAAGAGGCAGAAGATTGGATTTGTGTTTATTCATTTAGATGTTGCTGAAGTGGGCCAGGCATGGTGGTTCACACCTGTAATCCCAGCACTTTGGAAGGCCTCCTGATCACGAGGTCAGGAGTTTGAGACTGGCCTGGCCAACATGGTGAAACCCTGTCTCTACTAAAAATACAAAAAATTAGCCAGGTGTGGTGGTGCGTGCCTGTAATCCCAGCTACTTGGGAGGCTGAGGCAGGAGAATCACTTGAACCCAGGAGGCAGGGGTTGCGGTGAGCAGAGATCACGCCATTGCACTCCAGCCTGGGCAACAGAGTAAGACTCCGTCCCAAAAAAAAAAAAAAAAGATGTTGCTGAAATGTTTTAATCTTTGCCAATTACTGAAATAGTGATTATTTGCTCAATAAAACTATGTTTTATCTGTTCTCTTCTAGACTATAATTTCATGTGTGTGAAATTCAAGGGGAAAAAGGAAACAATACATAATCCAGGTAGGAAGAGCATTTTGTTCCTTTCGTTATTTATTCCTTGCAGACTTTCATTCATGGATGCATAGACTCTTAGAACGTTAGAGCTGCTGAATCCGTACAGATCAGCTAATTTAACCTTCTTAGTTTACATTTAAGGACACCAAGGAAAGGAAACAGATAAATTTACTAGAATTATAAATGTGACAAATATTCCAGAGATTTTCTGCTAATTAAGATGTTGCTTTTGTCTAACAAAACATAGCAGAGTTTGAGATTTCCCCCCTTTTCTTCTATAGCATCACCAGTGTCACACTTCAGGACCTGATGAAATGTTTTATCTTCTGAAAAGCTTTCCTGGCTCAGATGAGGTGACTCATGTCAGCCTACACAAAGGCTTCTTCATATACTAGAATTTCTACTATAATTTTTCAGCCTTTCCACAAAACAAGTCTTACCATAATCCAGCAACAGAGCAAAAGAGAAGTCAATGATGAGAAGCTTGATAATGTAAAGGTTTAGTTCTAAGGTGGGTAGCAGTCACTCTTTCACTCAACAAGTATTTATTAAGTGCCCACCATGTGCTGGGTGCTAGAATTACAATGATAAACAAAAGATGTGGTCGTTATTTTGCCATTTTCACACCACCTCTTTAGTCACTACTTTTCTTTCTCTTTCGGACAACTCAATGTATCCTCTAACTGGTGTTTCTGCTTATACTTTGATCTCCCTTTGATCCATTCTTCACCCAATAGTCAGAAGGATCTTTTGATCATTAAATCCCCTCCTTAAGCCTCTCAGAAGTTCCACTTGTGGAACAGCAGTGTAAGGAGCTCTATGTACCCACTCCCCAGAGTCAGCCATAACTATTGAGCGTTATATATTTTTTAAAAACCCAATCATTTATAAATCCCTGGAAATTGTCCTAAGAGCATATAGCAAATGAAGAAACATTTATTAAAGAAAATCTATTAGATCTTGGCAGAAACAAAAGGAATCTTTGGCACAACCCACCCCCTCCCTCCTCCCTTCCCATCTCAACCTGATGACAGAAGTTGCAATCTGGTCAAATATCACCAAGAAAATGGGGCTCCTCTCCCCTCTGCTCCTAGTCAAGGGATATAGTAGCACTCTAGGAAGGGCAGGCCACTAGCATTTTTCATCACCCACCTCTGAATTGCAGAAGCTAAATTCCTGGTGAGTGTGGCTGAGGGATGAGGGGCTCCCTTCCTCCACCCAACTCCCACTCATAGATGGAGGCTCTGTCCTAGGCATGGGAGGTCAAGAGTACTGGGGTCACAGTAGTCCTTGTTCCAGCTTACTTTTAGGGTGGAGGTTTCATGCCAGGAGAGGCAAGACAAGATCTGAAGCTACCATTCCCATCTTCTACCTTGTTTGTAAAGCAGGGGTGTCAGTTCAAGAGAAGCAGGCTACTGTCCCTGTCCTCACTTTCAGGGCAGTGGCTCAGATATTCTGCCCTGGAGAAGAGGAAGTCCCTAAGAACAGAGAGCTCTAACACTCTCCCCAAAGAAACTGACTTTATTTAAAGTAGAATATGGGAAAGCTCAAGTCTAAAAATTCTCTCAAATACAATGGAGATTTTGGTGGTAAACAGTTAAGAGAAGGCTGGTAACTCCATGGGAGCAGGAAGCTGAGCCATAGACCAGTTAGCTTACTAGAGAGAACCAGGGAAAGAGACAACTAAGAGGAATCCTCTTGGAGTCACAACAAACCTCAAAAACTGGGCTTAGAAACTACCTCTATTTTTCTGGGGTTTAAATCTAATTGGATCAGACTGCGGAGCAATTTATGTCCCAGGGCATTGTCCAAAAAAAAAAAAAAAGCAATCACCTGACAATTAGGCAGTGTCTAACAAAAGCAGGTAGCTTAACAGAGGGATCAAGGAAAGAGAGATAAAGAGAGTCCTGCGGAAACTACTGTCACCCCACAGTTACTGTTCATGTCCAAGTCTGTGTATGTCCTCTGAGGAGCAACATCAGAGGCTTCACACTGTGAGGGAAATAGACTTTATTAAAATTATCTAAGCAAGTCACTAAATAAATAAGCAAAAAGGAACAAAAATAAGCCCTGGAGTTGAGGGGGTACTCAATATCTAGAATTGCTACAATCTATTACCTGAAATGTCTATACAAAGACATACAAAGAAACAGGAAAGCATGACCCATACATAGGCAGTAAATCAGGCAATAGAATTGCCTTGAGAAGGATGGCCCAGATGTCAGATGTGATGGACAAAGTGTTCAAAGCAGGCATTATAAGTATGTTCAAAGAACTAAAGAAAACCATGCTTAATGAAGTAAAGAAAGGTATAATGTCAACATGTCATTGAATAGAGAAGATCAGTAAACAGATATAAATTATAAAAAATTAACCAAATGAAAATTTGGAATTCTAAATTTGGAAAGTGTAATAACTAAAATTAGAATTTCACTAGACACATTCAACAGTAGATTGGAACTAGCAGAAGAATCAGCAAACTTGAAGATGGACTGATAGAGATTATGTGACTAAAGAACAAACAGAAAAAAGAAAGAAGAAAAATAAACAGAGGCTCAGAGAAATCTACAATCCAAGAAGTTTGAAGAGCTCCAAGTAGAACAAATGCAAAGAAATCCACACCCAGACACGTGACAGTAAAAATGTTGAAAGAGAAATTTTCAAAGGGAAAAATTTGAAAGCAGCAAGAGAAAAATGAGCCAGGCGTAGGCAGAGGCAGGAGGATAGCTTGAGCCCAGGAGTTTGAGACCAGCCTGGGCAATATAACAAGACCCCACTCTACACAAAAATCATGGGGGAAAGACTCCCAAAAAAGGAGAAAAATGACTTATCACATTCAAGGGAACCTCAATAAGATAACAGATGATTTTTCATCAGAAACAATGGAGGCCAGAAAGCAATGGGATAAAATATTCAAGGTGCTGAAAGAACAAAAACTACCAATCAAGTATCTTATAATGTCACAGGGTGAACCCCAAAATTGAACCTCAACCTGGGAGGTCACATGGGTTCTTGACTTCATGCAGAAAAGAATTCAAGAGCAAGCTGACAGTAAAGTGAAAGCAAGTCTATGAAGAAGGGAAAAGAATAAAAGGGTGGCTACTTCATAGGCAGAGCAGCCCCAAGGGTTGCTAGTTGGCTATTTTTATGGTTATTTCTTGATCATATGCTAAACAAGGGGTGAATTATTATTGAGTTTTCCAGGAAAGGTGCAGGGAATTCTTGGAACTGAGGGTTCCTCCCCTTTTTAGACCATATAGGGTAACTCCTGTGAGTTGTCATGGCATCTGTAAACCATCATGGTGCTTATGAGAGTCTCTTTAGTCTCTTTTAGCATGCTAATTTATTATAATTAGTGTATAATAAGCAGTGAGGATAACTAGAGGTTGCTTTTATCACCATCTTGATACTGGCTGGTTTGGGCTGGTTTCCTTACCACATCCTATTTTATCAATGGGGTCTTTGTGACCCGCATCTGGAGAAACAAGTCTTGCTAAACTATCTCAAAACAAAAACAAAAACAAAAACAAAAAAACCTCAAAACCTTCAGTATCTTTTAATTACTTTGGATGAAGTCAAATTTGCTTATCATGATCTACATAGTCTGCCCACCTCTCTACCTTCTTGAACCACACTTCTCTATCGAGCTTGATCACACAGGCATTCTTTTAGCCTGTTCCCTCCTGCCTTGAGGCCTTTTGACCATGTTGCCCCAAGTGTCTGTCTCACTATTCTCTCACCTCTTTAACTAAATATTACTCACCCTTAGATTTCAGCTTAAACTTTGCTTCTTCTGGGAAGCCTTCCCTTATCTCCCTGCCCATGTGAGATAGTACATACTGCCATGCATCTCTCGTCACCTCCTTCTTGAAATTTTACATGAATTGGTACATTTAATTAATGCTTTTATAATATAAATTTCACATAGATAGGAAATGTGTGTGTGTGTGTGTGTGTGTGTGTGTGTTGTGCTTTAGGTTGCAAAAACTAAAAGTCACTGAAAGGTTTTATCTGATGAATGGCATTGTCAGACTAGCAGGTTTAGGATGTTTTTCTAGCTGTGCTTTTAGAAAATACTGGACACATTCCTATTGTGGATATAAGGAAGATGTTGTAGTATTCCAGAGTAAAGGTGATCAAATGCTCAGACCAGGTCAGGGTTTGGAGATGAAAAGTAGACCAACTTGAGAACTACAATCAGAGAGGAAAGGACAGTTATCACTGGGTGGAATCCTAGGTTTCTGACTTGTACAATTCAATACAGTGGTTCTATTTACGAGGAAAGGGAGAACTAGAGAGAAATCAGACTATTGGGGGTGTGGATAGAGGTAAATCATGATTCAGTTAGGAACTGTTGAACTTGAGGTGTCAGTGAGAAATCAGTGAGAACTCCAATAGAGATTTTAGGTAAGCAATTGGATACAGGATTCTGGAACTCAGAGAACTTGAGACTGCAGATATGCAAAGCCAATCTGGGGAAAATATGGTTGCCTGTGAGGACCTACTTCTCCTTCACTACCACCAATACTGGCAGCCTCTCAGCTGCAGTTCTGCTTTGTCCCAAGCCTATCAAAGGCCAGAAATGTTGTTCTCCCTGCCCTTCCAGCTGATATATTCCTGCTTATTCTGTAAGGCCCTCCTTTCTCTGAACCCCAGCCTGCAGTAGGGTTGTGCCTGGGCTCCTGGAGATTTTTTTGTACTGTGCTGGTCCCAAGAAGAACAACTTCTGAGTTAATAAAAAGCTCCTGGCCGGGCATGGTGGCTCATGCTTGTAATCCCAGCACTGTGGGAGGCCAAGGCGGGCAGATCACGAAGTCAGGAGTTCAAGACCAGCCTGGCTAGCATAGTGAAAGCCCATCTTTACTAAAAATACAAAACTTAGCTGGGCGTGGTGGCACATGCCTTTAGTCCCAGCTACTTGGGAGGCTGAGGCAGGAGAATCACTTGAACCTGGGAGGTGGAGGTTGCAGTGAGTGGAGATCGCGCCACTGCGCTACAGCCTGGGTGACAGAGGGAGATCTTGTCTTGAAAAAATAAATAAATAAAATAAAATAAAAAGCTCCTTTTGGTGTATCTTACTTTAATTTGATCTTCTCAGCCTGAATCCAGGAAGGGATATGCGTGTTGAATTCTGAGGGCGAAGGCGTGTTTTTCTGCTTGCTGGATAGTTCTCTAAGGTCAGGCAGCAGGCCTTAGTCATGCTAATGGAGATCTAACCTTTCATGGAATCAGAGATTTTTTCCAGCTCAAGGGCATTTCAATAATTTTCCAGATGAGGCCTTTGTCTCCAAAACACAGTGATAATTACCAGCAAAGTCGTAACTTGAACTCAGGTCTTCTGACTTGAAGCCCAGTGCTTTTTTTTTTTTTTTTTTTTTTTTAACCCACAATACTCCCATGTAGTATAGCATCTGGCTTCTGGATGGACTTTTGCAGCACCAACCACCATTTCTAAGACACAGTAGTGTCATAAATGTTGTTGAATGAACAAATAAAAGCTATTCTACTGCCCAATCCTTTCTTTTTCCCTAGAATAGCAGAGAGTAAAGAAAGCAAACCAGCAGAATGTATCTGGGGTTTCCAAGCATCATTATCAGCATGAATGCATGTCCTTTGGGAACTCTGCCACTGAAGTCATTCAATCAAGTAGAAATTGAATCAATGTCCATTCTTAGCATAATAATTAAAGGATACCAATATCTCAGAACCAGCTGGTGGAAAATAAGCTCTGGTCTGTTTTATAAGCAATATCATATATAAAGGTGGAAGGCCTTCAGTGTTTTTCCCTGAACAGCTTTCTATGGTACAGAGCATAGACATCCAGGCAAAAGGAAGACAAGCTGGTTCACCGTCATCTCTGATTTCTCTCCAATCTCCACACTACCTCCAACATGATAGCTTTAAATGCAACTTGAGAAGTGTTTCATCCAAGATTATGTAGCTAGTAAGCAGTGAAGCCAAGACTACAGCCTGTGAATTTGGATTTAAATACTTTGCCACCCATTTATCACACTTTTGATCAGATTTGGATCCACTGCAATTGGCCCCTTTTTCTGACGGTAGCCATGTATTTTAGAGCTGCATTGTGCAATACAGTAGCTGCTGGCCTCCTGTGGCTATTTAAATTTAACTATGGTGGTGCGTGGCTGTAGTTCCAGCTACTCAGGAGGCTGAGGCAGGAGAATCGCTTGAACCCAGGAGGCGGAGGTTGCAGTAAGCCGAGATCGCGCCACTGCATTCCAGCCTGGACAACAGAGCGAGACCCTGTCTTAAAAAAAAAAAATTAAGTTAACTAAAATCAATGGCTGGGCACTGTGGCTCATGCCTGTAATCCCAGCACTTTGGGAGGCCGAGGCAGGTGGATCACCTGAGGTCAGGAGTTCGAGACTAGCCTGGCCAACATGGTGAAACCCTGTCTCTACTAAAAATATAAAAATTAGCCGGGTGTGGTGGCATGCACCTGTAATCCTAGCTACTTGGGAGGCTGAGGCAGGAGAATCGCTGGAACCCAGGAGGGAGAGGTTACAGTGAGCTGAGATAGTGCCATTGTACTCCAGCCTGGGTGACAGAGCAAGACCCCATCTCAAAAATAAATAAATAAAATTAAAAATTTAGTTCCTCAGCCATACTGGTCCCATTTCAAGCACACACTAGCCACAAGTGGCTAGTGATTGTATGTTGGACAGTGCAGACATGGAGCATTTCCATCATCACAAAAAGTTCCACTGGACAGCACTGCTCTAGAGACAGATTTCCCTTTTTTTGTCTAAGGTTACTAGGGTCAGAAAGTCTGATGGAATATTTCCTCTCTCCAAACGGCAAATGAGGCCAATAGACAGATGGGAGACTGTGAGCTACTTATTCTATTCCATACTTTCTAAACTCTCAAATGGAATTGATAGGGCCTAGCTACTCATCTCTGGGATGGGTAAATCTGCAACATGCTACTTAGAAAAGGATGATTAATCTGTTGTCATATCAAGTCCCTTGAACATACAATATAAATAAATATAAATTAAAGTATGCATCTCTCTGCCCTACTCTGATCTGTTATATGAGTATCTATTTCTTGGGATTTAGAAGAACATTATGTTTCATTCTCAGGCTAGTGATTCATTAAGAATACATTTCTCAATGACATTTCCACAGATCATCATTCTCTAGGCAGACTATCTTCCTAGGTCTCTGGGCCCATTTTCCTTCCAGACTAAAATCCTCTGGGAAAAAGATCTAAACATTTCAATTCTAACAGGATGTAAAGCTCTCTAGTTGAAAATTTGTAGCAGATATTCAAATTGGGAAATGATAACTATGGTGTGAAATAAACTATATACAGAAATGTACAAGTGAAAGATTATATTGTCACCTATATACCACAAGTGAGTTATTCTACCAGAAAAAAAAAGATAGCTTACTTTGCTTTGTTGTATGTCAAATGACAACAACGACAACAACAATAAAAGATGAACAATTTACACACAGAACCCAGGGTGACCATTTCTTTTTTGCTTGACATAGTTTGTATTTCCAAACATTCCCCATTCATTTGTGTGAAATAATTGGAAAAAAAGCATGCAATTTTCACAAAATTGGAGAAGGAAGGGGGGTCAGCTTGCTGCTCTAGTGCTCCCTTGTTGGGTGGGTAATTTGGTATCAAGAGGTAGCCGTGGTGACCATAAAACTTACTCGTGTGACTAACGATGCAACTAATGATGCCCACAATTACTTAATTGCAGGCATGCTTAATGGCTTTTGCCATTTTCAGATGGTGCTTATGGCTAATTGTGGCTGCAAGTGGGTAACTACAGGTGCAATCAGATACGTTCCTAATTTTTACATTTGTGCTGACAGCAGAAGAAGAAACCATTCCTTCTAAAATGAGGCGTTATAAAAAGAGAGCTGAAATTAGTTCTTTCAAGTCCACTGATGATAGAACAGCCTCTGACACAAAAACAAACACAAGTCATTTCATGTTGAAGCAGAGGAAAGTTCCAGATGATCAATGGACCTTTTGCCACACTCCAACCCCACCTGTGCATTCTCCCCTTTCCCCTTAGTGTTCTCCCACTTGAATTCCTGCTACTGCCACTACCAAAAGGGGACTTTTACTTTTTCCTTATAACTCTACAGTTCCTGTCCCATCATGGAATATATATATATTTTTTAACGTTACATTGTCTGTATTTGAAAAGATTTTTTTTTTTTTTTTTTTTTTTGAGACAGAGCCTCGGTCTGTCGCCCAGGCTGGAGTGCAGTGGTGCAAACTCAGCTCACTGCAGCCTCTGCCTCCCAGGTTCCAGCGATTCTCCTGCTGGGTAGCTGGGATTACAGGCACATGCCACCATGCCCAGATAATTTTTGTATTTTTAGTAGAGATGAGGTTTTACCGTGTTGGCCAGACTGGTCTCCAACTCCTGACCTCAGGTGATCCGCTTGTCTCAGGCTCCCAAAGTGCTAGGATTACAGGCATGAGCCACCACACCCAGCCTTGTATTTGCAAATACTTTTAATACTTGGCATGATACATATGTGCTCGAGTGACTTCTAATATATATCCTGGGGAAGATAAGTTAGATTTGAAGTTCTCTCATCAGGACTTAACACTCCAAAGATGGCTATGCAGTACTTTGAAATCCTTATCAAAATCTCACCTGAGGGATTTTAATGAGAGATAATTTTTTTTTTTTTTTGAGATGGAGTCTCAGTCTGTCACCCAGGCTAGAGAGCAGTGATGTGATCACTGGTCATTACAACCTCCACTTCCCAGGCTGAAGCAATTCTCCCACCTCAGCCTCCTGAGTAGCTGGACTACAGGCATGCACCATCACACCTAGCTAATTTTTATATTTTGGGGGGTAGAGACAGGATTTTGCTGAATTGTAGTTCCCAAATCCCCCTGTGTCATGGCAGGGACAGAGTGGGAGGTAATTGAATTATGCGGATGGTTTCCCCTGTGCTATTCTCGTGATAGTAAGTCCTCACGAGATCTGATGGTTTCATAAGGGCCTTCCCCCTTATAAAACCCTCATTCTTCTTTCTCCTACCACCATGTAAAGAAGGATGTGTTTGGTTCCTCTTCTGCCATAATTGTAAGTTTCCTGAGGCCTCCCCAGCCATGCAAAACTGTGGGTCAATTAAACCTCTTTATAAATTACCCAGTCTTGGGTATGTCTTTATTAGCAGTATGAGAATGGACTAATACAGATGGTGTCCTGTGAGTAAGCCCTGTACTCTACTAATTGTCAACTCTTCTTGTTTGGGGCCTGAGGGATGAACTTTAGCCATAGCCAAATGGCGGAACTGTGAAGACTTGCAAGTAATGAGGTGGAGAAAATGTTGGTTACCAGAACCGTCTGAGGGAGAGCCCTTTATTTGATTAGAAAAAATACTTTGAAATGACATTTGGGGTGGAAGGTAAAGTCTCAAGGGCCTTCTCCATCAAGAAAAAAATGTTTGCTAAACTGCTTTGCATGAGACAAGGAGAGGAATTGTATTGCTCCTAAGAGACAGTGAAGAAGGGGGAGGGCAGGGAGATGGGGGAAAGAATGCAACCACAACACTGGCAGAAAGGTATCTGCTGCACAATGGAAACTTTTGTGTCAGTGCACAAATTCTCATAAGATATACTAAGCTAATGAATGTCTAGTATGCATGATTATCTGTGAAGATTCGTGAAGAGGTTGAGTTTGCTATCTGGGCTGAAGCTGAACACTATCTCTGAAGTTTGGCTCACAACATCCCTTCTCTCTCTGTCTCTGTCTCTCTCTCTCACACACACACACACACCCATACACGTACAAACACACTACACCCACCCCCACACTGTGATACAGAAAGGGCACTGGGTAAAGGCAGGTAAAAGGAGAATTATTCTATCACACTGTGACATGACAGGCAGGCTGAGGGTACCAGCAGGCTTGCAGAAACGGGCATGGTGCCCAGGGCTTGGGCAGCCACAAGTCAGAGGATGATTAGACAATGGAAATCAACAATTTATAAAGGCTGGAGGACAAGGCCACAGGGATTGTTCAAAGTCCAGGCACACAATCACCATTCAGGGTGTGTGCCTGTGCTGTGGGATTTGAGTGAGGCAGAGGAGCAAATGGCTGAAAATTTCTCTCAGCTCCGTGGTGTGCCTGACCCAGTGCTGGAGATTCCAAAGGGAGTAAGATGCTGCATCCCCCTTGCACTTGGAGAGAGAGCATTAGAATACAGTCATAAAATTAGGGTAGTAGGAAGCTCAGAAGAAGCTGGCAGGTTAGGGAAGGCTTGCACAAGGACATGGTTCTTGCTATGAGCTTTGAAAGGTGAAGAGTATATGGAAAGATTGTGAAGAAAGGTTTTTCTGGGCAGAAGGATTAGCCTATGTGAAGAGGCAGAGGCATGAGAGTACAGGGCAACTGAGGCAGGAGATGAGGGTCTCAAAGATCTGAATGGCTTTGCTTGCCATTTGAGGACTCTAAACTTCATCTAAAGGTACTGGGGAACCATGGAAGAATTTAAAGCTGGTGGAAAGCATGACTAAATTTGCCTCTTATAAAGATCTCCCTGGTTTACGTGCCCATCTTCTGGGTTCTCAAAGTATTGACCTGTCAGTGTTTCAGTTTTTTTTTTTTTTGAGACGGAGTCTCACTCTGTCACCCAGGCTGGAGTGCAGGGGCGTGATCTTGGCTCACTGCAAGCTCCGCCTCCCGGGTTCACGCCATTCTCCTGCCTCAGCCTCCCGAGTAGCTGGAACTACAGGCGCCCGCTACTATGCCGGGCTAATTTTTTGTATTTTTACTTGAGATGGGGTTTCACCGTGTTAATCAGGATGGTCTCGATCTCCTGAACTCGTGATCCTCCCGCCTCGGCCTCCCACAGTGCTGAGATTGCAGGTGTGAGACACCGCGCCCGGCCTCAATTGTTTATTTCTCCACCTCACTACATTGTGAGCACCTTGTGGGGAAAAGCTGTATCTTTCATCTCTGCCCATAGCGTATTGTCCAGGGGACATAGTAGGTATTCAATGGATTTTTTTTTCTTTTGAGACAGAGTCTTGGTCTTGTCACCCAGGCTGGAGTGCAGTGGTGTGATCTCAGCTCACTGCAGCCTCTGCCTCCTGGGTTCAGGTGATTCTCCTGCCTCAGCCTCCTGAGTAGCTGGGATTACAGGCACCCGCCACCACGCCCAGCTAATTTTTGTATTTTTAGTAGACATGCGGTTTTGCCATGTTGGACAAGCTGGTCTCAAACTCCTGACCTCAGGTGACAAGCCTGCCGAGGCCTCCCAAAGTTTTGGGATTACAGGTGTGAGCCATCGCGTCTGACCTCAGTGGATTTTTTTTTTTTTTGGAGACCGAGTCTCGCGCTGTCACCCAGGCTGGAGTGCAATGGTGCGACCTCGGCTCACTACAACCTCTGCCTTCTGGGCTCAAGCAATTCTCCTGCCTCAGCCTCCCAAGTAGCTGGGATTACAGGTGTCTGCCACAACACCTGGCTAATTTTTGTATTTTTAGTAGAGATGGGGTTTCACCATGTTGGCCAGGCTGGTCTTGAACTCCTGACCTCAGGTGATCCACCTGCCTAGGCCTCCCAAAGTGCTGAGATTACAGGCATGAGCCATCGTGCCCGGCCAGTGGATTTTTAAAATGTATCCTATCCAGAAATGAACAGTTGGAGGGTGGTACAATAAGACAGAGAAATGAGTGAGTGAGGAGGTTAATAGAGCAATCAAGATGGAGATAGTGAAAGCCTGAGGAAAATGTAATTGCAATAGGGATTGAGAGAAGGACCCTAATCTAGAGATATTTATAAAGTAGAATTTACTGGACTTGGTGATTGATTCGTTTGTTGAAAAAATTGTTAGAAAAAAGTATCAAGGATGACCCCGAGTTTCTGTCCTTGGTAACAGCTTGGATCCTATGAAAAACAGGAGGAAGAATAAGTTTGTTTTTAGAGGGGAAAGGGAGATTATCAGTTCCCTGAGTTTCAGTAGCCTATGGAACATCAGAAGAGATACCTACCAGGCTGCTACTGGATGGATTATGCTCACTATAGACCTAGATCTCTAACATGGAGACTGTGGGTTGGAAGTAAAAAGTCTACAGATGATCTTTCAGATGTGAGTGTAGAGGTGCTCTTATAGGGAGAGTATGTAGAAGAGGGTGGAGGATAAAACCATGAAAAATGCTAACATTAGTGAGGTAGATACGGAAAAGAGTTGCTCTTGAAGGAAGAGTTGAAGATGTAGGAAGAAAATTGGGAGATAAAAAATTATTACAGAAATTCTTATAATGGAAATGCTTATTCTTTTTTTTCCCTTTTTTTGAGAGGGAGTCTTGCTCTGTCACCCAGGCTGGAGTGCAGTGATGCAATCTCGACCCAGTGCAACCTCCTCCTCCTGGGTTCGAGCAATTCTCCTGCCTCAGCCTACTGACAAGCTGGGATTACAGGCACGCACCACCATGCCCGGCTAATTTTTGTATTTTAGTAGAGATGGGGTTTCACCTTGTTGGCCAGGCTGATCTCGAACTCCTGACCTCAAGTGATCTGCCCATCTTGGCCCCCTAAAGTGCTGGGATTACAGGCGTGAGCCACCACGACCGCCTGGAAATAATTATTCTTCACCGCATTTGCATGAGCTCTTCCACATTTCCCAGTTCCCCTTCTAGAAGGTAGGGTCAAGTGGCTAGTTCTGGCAATGTGCTCTGAGTAGAAGGGGTATGTGTCTTTTCTGCATAGAAGCATTTAAGAGCTGGTGCGTGACCCTACAGCTATATCTTCCTCTGTCTTAGCAACCACAGAGGCCGTTGTTTTTTTTTTTTTTTTTTTTTTTGAGACGGAATCTTGCTCTGTCACGCAGACTGGAGTGCAGTGGCGCGATCTCGGCTCACTGCAAGCTCCGCCTCCCAGGTTCATGTCATTCTCCTGCCTCAGCCTCCCGAGTAGCTGGGACTACAGGCGCCCGCCACCACGCCTGGCTAATTTTTTTTATTTTTAGTTGAGACGGGGTTTCACTGTGTTAGCCAGGATGGTCTCGATCTCCTGACCTCGTGATCCGCCCACCTCGGCCTCCAAAAGTGCTGGGATTACAGGCGTGAGCCACCGTGCCTGGCCCAGAGGCCTGTTTTTGACTTGACAGAGCCGCAAGATGGAAGTAACCTGGATCATGGAGTAACCACATGGAAAGCCCTAGGCCATTCACTTTTGCATGAGTGAGAAGTAAATGTTTGTTGTGCTAAGCCACTGAGATAGGGGGTTAATTTGTTACTGCTACATAATTTGGTCTACCCTGACCAATATCATCAATGGAGGAGAGTTTCAAGAAAGGGAAGGCCAAATATGACAAAGAAATAAAGTAAAAACGATCAATTAGTGACTAATAGTGGATTTAGAAATTAGGACATGAGAAGCAAGGTGGGAGGGGATTTTATTGTGAGAAGTCAAGGATTGAACAGGAGGAAGGACAGTGGGAAGAGTGAATGCAGATGGATCCTTTGGAAAGTTTGTATAAGAAGTGAAGAACAAGAAGCAGTCACTGGAGGGGGACAAGGGAACATGTGGTAAACAAATTTGCTTTTGTCTTTAAGAAGGATGTTTATAGGCTTTTGGGGAAAGGGAGTAGAGAGTGAGACACTGAAGATATAGAAAAAGAAGAAGGCCAAGTGTTGTGGCTCTCGCCTGTAATCCCAGCACTTTGGGAGGCCAAGGCATGTGGATCACTTGAGGTCAGGAGTTCATGTCTAGCCTGGCCAACATGGCGAAACCCCGTCTCTACTAAAAATACAAAAATTAGCCAAGCGTGGTGGCAGGTGCCTGTAATTCCAGCTACTCAGGAGGCTGAGGCAGGGAGAATTGCTTGAACCCAGGAGGTGGAGGTTGCAGTGAGCCAAGATCGTGCCACTGCACTCTAGCCTGGGCAACAGAGCAAGACACCATCTCAAAAAAAAAAAAAAAAAAAAAAAAAAAAAGACGACGAAGATAACAGAGAAGGCAATGTTCCTGAGGATTTAGCGACCATAACTTCACTGGGACCAAGGCATGTGCAGGAGAACCACCCTGTCAATCCAACGCCCAAATAAATGTTTGTTTCTTTTCACTCAGTTCACAAGATGTTAGGAGGCTCCCTCAACCATAACCCATGGACTTTTAATGGACAGCAACAATGCTTTGAGAGGCCATACTTGGCATACTCCTATGACTCAAAATATGAGCGAGCGCACCTGCGGTTTTACCCAGGCCATTGTCCCTTTGGTGGTAGAGAATTTGGTGAAAAGAGTGAGGGCTGAGCATTCTGGAAGCAGGCTACAGAGGGGTACACAGTGAACTGTACTGTCTCAAAATTTACAGGTTGAAATCCTAACCCCAAGTACCTCAGAATGCAACCATAATTGAAGATAGGGTTTTTGTTTGTTTGTTTGTTTGTTTGAGACAGGGTCTCACTCTGTTGCCCAGGCTGGAGTGCAGTGGCATGATCATGGCTTAATTGCAGCCTCAACCCCTTCTGGCTTAAGCTATCCTCCCACCTCAGCCTCCCAAGTAATTGTGATTACAGGTGGGCACCACCACACCTGGTGAATTTTTAAATTTTTTGTAGAGGCTTGCTCTCCCTATGTTGTCCAGGCTGGTCTCAAACTCCTACCTTGGCCTCTCAAAGTGTTGGGATTACAGGTAATGAGCTAATAGTCAGCCAGAGACAGAGTTTTTAAAAAGGTAATTACATTAAAATGAGGTCATTATGGTGGGCCCTAATCCAATGTGACTGGTATCCTTATGAGAATAGGAAATGTGGACACAGACACATAAAGAGAAAAGAGTATGTGAAGGCACAGGGAAAAGCCATCTACAAGCCGAGGAGAGAGGCCTGGAACAGATCCCTCCCTCATCGCCCTCACGAGGAACCAACCCTGCCGACACCTTGATCTCAGCTGTCTAGCCTCCAAGACTGTGAGAAAATAAATTTTTGTTGTCTAGATCATCCAATCTGTGTTCCTTTGTCATAGAAGCCCTAGAAAACTAACACAGTGGGTTTGAATTCCAGTTCATCCACATCTCAGCTCTTCCATCTTGGGTAAAGTATATAACCTCTCTATGTCTCCCTTTCCTTATCTGTAAATCAGAGATAGTAATCAAAGCCTAAAGTCAGGTCTCAATAAATGGTAGCTTCCATTATTATTATTACTATTGGTAATTGTTTTTAGCTTTATGATGTAGTTTCAGTACAGTAAAACTTAAATGGCTCCAAATTATTTTATTGTTATTATTTTTTTTTAATTTTTTTGAGACAAGGTCTCACTCTGTCACCCAGGCTGGAGTGCAGTTGTGTGATCATGGCTCACTGCAGTGTCAACCTCCTGGGCTCAAGCCATCTTCCTGCCTCAGCCTCCCGAGTAGCTGGAACTACAGGTGCACACTACCACGCCTCAATAATTTTTGTATTTTTTTGTAGAGATGGGGTTTTGCCATGTTTCTCAGGCTGATCTCAAACTCTAGGGCTCAAGTGATCCAACGGCACTGGCCTCCCAAAGAGCTGGGGTTACAGGCATGAGCCATTGTGCCAGGCCCAAATTGTTTTATTAATTCCACTCTGTCTCAATCATAATCATGAATGTAGCCATGCCTGCAGTAGTAACTCACAGCACTCTCTCATGCATCTGCAGTAGAAAATGTGTTTTAATGAAGAACCTTAAGCAGGTCCTTTCAGAGAGAGCCATGTGGCAGAGGCTGGATCCTTGAGATCAAGCATCAATCTAAGGAGCGGCATCTTGCTTCCTCCACTCTGGACCTTTTCCTGATTCTTTTCAGAGCTGAGAAGCCAAAGCTTCCTCACAAGCAGAACACATCCCCACATCCAAAATATGCCTTCTGGTGAAACAGACTTCATATGCCTGCTGGCCACGTTTTGAAGGTAGCCCACTTACCTGTTGGGTTTGTTGTTACTTTGTTTTGTATTTTACCTTTTTCTTGAGAATCTGAAATAGATACAAAAGTGGACAAAATCATTTTAAGAACCCCAGGTGTTACTCATGAGACCATGAACAAGGCTGCCCACCCATCCCCACCGCCCGTGTTCTTGAACGTTCCAGACATTATATAATTTCACCATTAATATTTAAGAATCAATCTTTTAAAGATATAGATTACTATTATTATTATTTTTTGAGACAGAGTGTCACTCTTGTTGCCCAGGCTGGAGTGCAATGGCATGATCTCGGCTCACCGTAACCTCCGCATCCTGGGTTCAAGTGATTCTCCTGCCTCAGCCTCCCGAGTAGCTGTGATTACAGGCATGTACCACCACACCTGGCTGATTTTCTAGTTTTAGTAGAGACGGGGGTTTCTCCATTTTGGTTAGGCTGGCCTCGAACTCCCAACCTCAGGTGATCCGCCCGCCTCGGCCTCCCAAAGTGCTGGGATTGTAGGTGTGAGGCACTGCACCTGGCCAACACTGGCAAGATTATTTTTATTTAAAAATAGTACCATTAGGCCGGATGTGGTGGCTCATGCCTGTAATCCCAGCACTTTGAGAGACCAAGGTGGTCAGATCACCTAAGGTCAGGAGTTTGAGACTAACCTGGCCAACATAGTGAGACTCCATCTCTACTAAAAATACAAAAATTAGCTGTAATCCCAGCTACTTGGGAGGCTGAGGCACGAGAATTGCTTGGGAGGCGTAGGCTGTAGTGAGCCGAGATTGTGCACTCCAGCCTGGGTGACAGAGCAAGACTGTGTCTCAAAAAAAAAAAAAAAAAAAAAGTACCATTATTGAGCGGATAAAGAAAATGTGGTGTATATACACCATGGAATACTACTCAGCCATAAAAAAATAAAACAATGTCTTTTGCAGCAACTTTGATGGAGCTGGAGGTCATTATTCTAAATGAAATAACTCAGGAATGGAAAATCACATACTATATGTTCTCACTTATAAGTGGGAGCTAAGCTATGGGTACACAGAGGCATCCAGAGTGATGTAATGGACTATGGAGACTCAGAAGGAGAAGGGTGTAAGAGGGCACAAAGGATAAAAAAAACTACCTATTGGGTCTAATGTACACTACACAGGTGATGGGTGCACTAAAATCTCAGACTTCACCACTATACAATTCATCCATGTAATCAAAAACCACTTGCAGCCCCAAAGCTATTGAAATAAAAAAAAAGTTTTAAATAAGACCACTATTACATGACCCAAATAATTAACAATATCATATTATTCGTAATATCATAATATTCAGCCAGTGTTTAAATTTCCTTTCTCTTAAACTCATTATATTTTATTGTATGTATTTATTTATTTTGAGATAGGGTCTTATTCTGTTGCCCAGGCTGGAGTGCAGTGGTGCAATCACCACTTGCTGCAGCCCCTCGACCTTCCCAGGCTCAGACTCTCCCACCTCAGCCTTCCGTGTAGCTGGGACTACAGTTGCACGCTACCATTCCCGGCAAATTTTTGCGTTTTTTGTAGAGACAAGGTTTCACCATGCTGCCCGGGTCTAGAACTCATGGGCTAAAGGGATCCCCTTGCTTCACCCTCCTGAAGCCTCATTATTTTTTACATGATTTGTTACCACACCACCCCCAGCCTCATTATTTTTTACGTAATTTGTTTGAAGGAAGATTGAAATAATTTTCATTGTTTAAATATGATTCACACATTGCCGTCGGTCAATATGTCTTTTTTTTGTTTGTTTTGAGACGAATCTAGCTCTGTCGCCTCGGTTGGAGTGCAGTGGCATGATCTTGGCTCACTGCAACCTCTGCCTCCCAGGTTCAAGCATTTCTGCCTCAGCCTCCAGAGTAGCTGGGATTACAGGCACCCACCACCATGCCCAGCTAATTTTTGTATTTTTAGTAGAGACGGGGTTTCACTGTGTTAGCCAGGATGGTCTCAAACTCCTGACCTCGTGATAGGCCCACCTCGGCCTCCCAAAGTGCTGGGATTACAAGCGTGAGCCACCACGCCCAGCCAGTCAATATATCTTTTAGGTCTCTTTTAATCTATAGATTTCTCTGTATTTGTTGAGGAAACCTGATTCTGTTCAGTAGTTTCCCACAGTCTGGAGTTTTTGCATTCATCCCTGTAGTGGTATTTAACATGTTCCTTCGTTCCTTGCATTTCCTGTTCATTGGTAATTAAAACTAGAGTCTATATCAGACCCAGGTTCAATTTTTTAGCCAGACTACTTCGTAAGTGGTGTTGTGTTCTTCCATCAGGGGCATATAATATCTGGTGGTCTTTCTCCTGCTTGTTTTTCATTCATCCTTTCTCATATTTTCATATCTCACCTTTATGATTCCTGGAAAGGGGGCTGGGAGGTTGGGAGTCTGGCGGAGGGATTGCCAGCCTTTCTGCCTGCTCCTGTCATATTGCGTTGCTCTATTCCCTTGTTATTGGTCTATGCCATCAACATGGCTTTCCATTCCTATGGGGCATGATGGTGCTGCTAATGCCCTTCCCAGAGCTAAGGGGGGAACTGACATGTTGAAAAAACTTTAGAGGTTAACATTTTTTATTGCTTTTCTTCTTCCATGCTAGGGAATGCCAAGTCTGAGCCCTGCTGGCTTGTTATTGGTTCAGATGGCAAACAGCTATCAAGCAGGGAAGGGTCTGCTGGATAGGAAAGTAGCTGATGTACTTCCTTCCTGATCCATGCAGAATGGGAACGTAATTTCCAACTATTATTTGGTGCCCAAACTTCAAATTTAATGCTTCAGGCCTAAAGTCCAAACATAGTTGAACGCCATAAGAATGTTCCAGATTCCCTAGAGTTGGGTCAACATGGGACTGACATATATGAAGGATTTGCCTAACCATATATTGCCCACAGCAATATTGAATCCTTGCTCAAATTCCAGGCTAGTGTGTTGATTAGAAGTCTAGAAAAGAGAAAAAAAATGTCGTCAGTCATTACAGCCAGCCTTTCTACAAAATAATCTTTTTTTTTTTTAAAGATTCAGTAACACAGAGTATTTGTTTCTATTTGACCTCAATTTCTTCATCAACTAATTTTACCTCGTTGAATCCTAAGTGTAGCAGATTCTGTTGATACCTAGCCCTGTATCACTCTGGCCCACCTTTGAGTTCACATGCAGCTTGAGTGGGTCAGCTCCTGGCCACGTGGACAGGTGCCTACCTCATGTGCTTGTGGCTCCCTACTCTTCACCCAGAGGGTTTGCTCCTGTTCTACCAGAAATTATCAGACTGCTCAGGACATTGTGGAGGTACTGGGAACTTAAGATCCCCAGGTGCAACCCTTGACCCCTGAGAAATGAGAGTCAGTGGACACATCCCTCAGCTTCCCCATCCCTTGGCAGGATAATCCTGCGGCATGTCCTCCATGGAGCTTCAGAGGGTTCCCTGTAGGATTTATTGGTATTGGACTTTCCTACTCACTGATGCAACTTTGAACTTTTGTTCCTTTTCAGTCTTCCTTTCTCCACTATTTCACTTAAGTTTCCTGCAATCACTTCCCAAATAAGCCACCTAAACCCAATTTATTGTGTCAGAGCCTGCTTTTGGGACAACACAAACTAGTCAGGAAATAATTTTGTAAGTGACCTCAAAACGCTTTGGAACAAGTGTGTGTAAATAAGTAAATATTGAGCATTATGTGCTGGATACATCCACATGTGAGTCATCTCTAATCCTATGAGTGAGCTATTGATATCTCCACTTTTTTTAGATGAGAAAACTGAAAATATGAGACATGCAAAGAAATTGCCCAAGAACACATAACCCGTAAGAACGAAGATGCAAATCCATAAAGACCAGCAACATTGTCTTGGCTCTTGTTCTCCATTATGTTTTTGGTGGAAGATTTTCTCTAATAGCTGGCAGGTTTCTGTCTTTCATTCTTCCTTTTTTGAATTGTTCTATTTGCTTATCTATATTTTGAATGGGTGAATTTCCTGCCAGTTGAACTTCAAGTTGTAAGTAAAAAGGCCTATCTTGATGTGGTCTCCTAGCAACAATTTATGAAGCACTTTAAAGCAATTATTCTTCTCAAGCACGTTTCCAAATGTTGAAGCATGTTCATTCACTTCGATCATTACAATCTCCAAGAACATTCATTCTGTAGCACACAGTTCTGGTAATTATAAGCTCATCAACAGGTTGCTTAGTGAGCGGAGAGCAAGGACAAACCCCACTCTCCCCAGGAGCTGAGCACTTTGTTTCCAGCCTAGCAAGGCAGGGCAGGGCAGATCCACTCCTGCCCAAATGAGTCTTAGTTGATTTGTGGAGTGGTGAAGGGGGAAGAATATTTAAACCCCAAATAGCTCTCTGTAAAATGTGGAGTCCATGGCAACACACACAGTCCTAGGGAGGATTTGAATATCTAAGGCCTGAGTCTGCCATTCAGTTTTCTGTGCCTCTTCCTCTGGACCCCTCCCTCAGCCCACCCTAGATCTGGAGACTCAACATCAGGCAGAGGCCTCATCTTGCCTCCCATGGGTCCTTAAACATGTAGTTCTGCCCAAATTAGCCATTGGCCCTTCAATTTGTCTTTCTTTCCTTGTCTTTTTCTAAGAATTCTCTTTTATTTTTATCTTCCTTTGAGTGTTTTAGGACACAAGTCTGGAAGGGGATCTGGATTGCTGGCAGTCACCCTGTAGGTTCAGCAAATAGGAATGTCCATTTGGCAAGCTAGAGGGTTGTCCATCTGGGCTATGGTTGTGAAACCATCAGGCCTGACTCCAACTCCACTGGAGAGGAAATTACAATCAGGATGGTGCCTTGGACAAAAATTAAGCACTCCTGGGATGTTTTAGATCTAAGAAAGGGGAAGGTTGACTTTCCTACTAATCCGGGAAGCTGCTTTTTTAAAAAAACTCTTTATTTTGAAACATTTTAATTCACAAAAGAGTTTTTCTATACCTCTCACCTGCTTTCCCTAAGGTTAACATCTTATGTAACTGTAGCACACTTATGAAAATAAAGAATCAGTTGTATTGATAATGTTCTTATGAAGGGAAATTGTACGAATCCCAGGATAGTAAAGGCCAGATGCATGCACACACACACACGCACACACACACACACACACACCAGATAAACATATACAATATACAGACACATACACACCAGAAACACACACAACATGCATACAGATATTCACACAAATACAGATACATACACAACATAATACAGATATACACAACATACAGACACACACACATCAGACACACACAACATACAATACACAGACATACTTAGAACATAATACAGATATACACAACATACAGACACACACACATCAGACACACACAACATACAATACACAGATATACTTAGAACATAATACAGATATACACAAGATATGCATACACGACATACATATACATACAAAATACAGATATACACATGTGCATGCAGCAAGACAAAAATAGACACATGCAACATACATACAAGCACAAAGTATATACAGATATACATGCAACATACATACATACAGAGATATATGAACACATACAACATATGTACAGAGATACATAGCATACATGCTCTTAAAATTATGGCTCATACTTTATATACTGAGAGTGCTTCTTGGTGGAATTTGAGCTGGTTGATGGAGGCAGAAAAGTGCTGAGACAGAACTAAGGAACAATGGTGATGAAGCAGTCAGGGCATGGGGTCAAGAATGACTCTCTCTACCTGGAAATTGTTATTTCTTTGTGGAAATGGGGCTGCCATCTACCATAGTAATAGTTTGGGTTGCAAAATCTGACCCACCAAACACGTCAAGGAAGACTTGTTCAGATAAACTTTAGATATAAACTGTTCTGCCCCATTTACCCAGTCAGGGTAGGGTAGGTACAGCCAGCCCAAATTTCCTGGGTCCCCATGCAGGAACAGGAGCAGAAAGGAGAGATGTTTCATCCTGAGACTTGGCTAAAATGACATAAGCATTTATTATCTCTTGTAGTTTCTGTAGGTCAAGAATTTGGGAGCAGCTTAGCTGGATGGTTCTCGCTCAAGGTGACTCAGGAAATTCAGTCAAAATGTTGGCCAGGACTACAGTCATAGGAAGATCTGACTGGAGCCAGGCAATTTGCTTCCAACACAGCTCACATACATGAATGGCAAGTTGATGCAGCCTGTTGGCAGGTCGGGGCTCAGTTCCTTACCACATGGGTCTTTCTGTAGGGATCCTGGGTGTTCTTCTTGGCATGGTGGCTGACTCCCCCAGAGCGAATGATCTAAGAGAGCAACGCAGAAGCCTCAATGTCTTTTATGACCTAGCTTTGGAAGCCACACTTTGTCGTTTCTGCAGTGTCCTATTAGCTAACAGGTCAGCCCTATTTAGTGTGGGAAGGGACTATCCAAGAGTGTGAATATCAGGGGGCCATCTTGGAAGCTAACTACCACGTGATCTTTTTTTTCTGATGATTTCATTCCAATTTAATAAAGCACTTTTAGACTAAACCTCAAGGTATAGTCAAATATAGTCAAACTTGGTTTCAAAACCAAGTTGGTGAAGTTGGTGAAAGCTAAAGTTAGGTCTCCTAGATAAGATGATATTTGAGTTGGGAACTGAAGGAAATATAAGAGTTATGGAGAGAGTGGTGAGAGATGAGGTTAGAGAGGTGTGTATGTGTGTGTGTGTGTGTGTGTGTGTGTGTGTGTGCACCTGCGCGCCTTGTAGGCCATTGTAAGGACTTGGGTATTTTATTCTTTCCATAATTTGAGGAGCCTTGCAGGTAATATATCCCTGAGTGCTTTTGTCTTCTTCTTCCTCCTTTCCCTCTTATGTGTGGAGTTCAGATGACATGTGGGATTTTGGTGAGTTGTGAAGGAAGGAGGCCAGGACATTTGAAACAGAAATGGAAAATTTGTTTGATAGAAGTCACTGTCGGCCGGGCCTAGTGGCTCATGTCTGTAATTCCCAGCACTTTGGGAGGCTGAGGCGGGTGGATCACTTTAGGTCAGGAGTTGGAGACCAGCCTGGCCAGCATGGTGAAACCCCATCTCTACTAAAAATACAAAAAAATTAGCCGGGCATGGTGGCACATGCCTGTAGTCCCAGCTATCTGAGAGGCTGAGCCAGGAGAATGGCTTGAACCCAGAAGGTGGAGGTTGCAGTGAGCCAAGATCATGCCACTGCACTCCAGCCTAGGCGATAGAGCAAGACTCTGTCCCCTCTCCAAAAAAAAAATAGAAGTCACTGTTTTGCCATGAACAAACTGTGCGTGTGTGGTTGTGTGTGTGACAGAGAGAGAGACAGAGAGAGAGAAACGGAGACAAATATAAAGGGATTCAAGAGAGCAATATGGATTGGTAAAGCCTGTAACAATATCCTTTTCTTTTTAAAAGTTATTTTAACAAATTTGTACTTTAAAATTTTCCTGATTATCCAAGTAATATATGTTCATTAAGATAAGGCAAGAATCATGCATGATGTCATCACCCAGAGGCAATAAAATGCTTTGACATTTCCTAGATCCTTTTCCTGGGCATGTTTTCTTCCTTAAGTTGAGGTTATATTCCTTCTGTAATTTTGCATTCAGCTTTTCATATGCATTTTATTGAATTATTTAATAGCTTTTAATAACCATTAGAGAAAAAATGTGCATATGTTTCTTCTCTTGGTTTGCATGCTCGCTGTAAAAAAAAAAAAACAAAACAAAACCCACTGAATATAATTGTATTAGAGAGAAAGGGAAAGTACACCCAAATATTACTTCCTAAACCACTGTTGATGGTATAGTTTAATATCCTTCCAGACATATTTTTCTGTGTATTTGTAAGTGCATGTAGATGACACTTATAAATAAGTATTTGGAAATGTTCTATAATTTATTTTACTTCAATATCACTATTATTAATGTTTTCCATGTCAGTGAGTAGTACTGCATCCTTTAAACATCTTATTTTTTTCTGATTACAAAAGTAAGAAATGCTTTTTCTAAAGTATTTTTTATGGTTGTGTAATATTCCATCATATAGAGATATACCATTATTTGGGTAATGGTTACCCTGTTATTTCCATTTTTGTTATTATGACCAATCCCATGAGAACCACCTTTGTAATCCCCCCTGCATTTCTGATTATTTTGTCTGGTTCAATTCTGAGTATTAGAATTTCCAAGTCAGGATTTAACAACTCTATAGTACATATTTGCTATTTGTTTCTCCATCATCATTCTATGCGTTGTAAAAACAGTAAAAACTCTCAATTATTTTTTCTTAAAAATATTTAACAAATCCCACTGTAATAATGTAAAATTTAAAATTTGAATAGAAATCATATATAATCTCTCCACCATAATAAATCAACTTTTTTTTAATATTCTCTTTTGATCCTTTTTTATGTACACGCCTATATATACCTTTAGACCAGAAGTCAACAAACTTTTTCTTTTTTTTTTTTTTTTGAGATGGAGTTTCGCTCTTATTGCCCAGGCTGGACTACAATGGCCCAATCTCGGCTCACTGCAACCTCTGCCTCCTGGATTCAAGCGATTCTCCTGCTGCAGCCTCCTGAGTAGCTGGGATTACAGGCATGTGCCACCATGCCTCGCTAACTTTGTATTTTTAGTAGAAACAGGGTTTCTCCATGTTAGTCAGGCTGGTCTCCAACTCCTAACCTCAGTTGATCCGCCCGCCTCAGCCTCCTAAAGTGCTGGGATTACAGGCGTGAGCCACCACGCCTGGCCAGACTTTTTCTTTAACAAGCAGATATTAATATTGTAGGCTTTGTGTGCCACATGGTCTCTATTAAAACTGCGCAACCCTGCCATTGTATCATGAAAGCAGCCATAGACAACATGTAAACATGAGAACGCCATAAAATTGTATTCACAAAACCAGGTGGCTGGCCTGTGTTTCTGGAGCCATTTTAGGCAATTGTTCTTTATAATCAGTTGAAACTATTTGATCATTCATAAACTGAACTAACTTTCTGAGTCTCTTTTATTTGTAACTGTAATTATTTTTTTTACTTACTGTTATTTTCCCCAGATCTTGTTAACCACACTAGATTCATAGAGCTGAAGTTCTTACACTGATTTGTTTTTAGTAAAGCAATACATTCAATGCATTTACTGATTATAAAGATACAGAATATTTCCTTACTATGGGCTTCAAGGGTGGCTTTTTTTTTTTTTTTCTTTGAGACAGTCTTGCATTATCTCCCAGGCTGGAGTGTAGTGGCACGATCTTGGCTCACTACAACCTCCACCTCCCGGTTCAAGTGATTCTCCTGCCTCAGCCTCTCGAGTAGCTGGGATTACAGGTGACTGCCACCATGCCCAGCTAATTTTTGTATTTTTAGTAGAGATGGGGTTTCACCATGTTGGCCAGGCTGGTCTCGAACTCCTGACCTCACGTGATTTGTGTGCCTCGGTCTCCTGAAGTGCTGGGATTACAGGCATGAGCCACTGCACTCAGCCAAGGATGACTTTTAAAAGAAAGATGTTTAGGCCCAGGTGCAGTGGCTCACACCTGTAATCCCAGCACTTTGGGAGGCAGAGGCGGGCAGATCACCTGAGGTCAGGAGTTCCAGACCAGCCTGGCCAACATGGTGAAACCCTGTCTCTACTGAAAATACAAAAATTAACCGGGCATGGTGGCGGTGCCTGTAATTCCAGCTACTCAGGAGGCTGAGGCAGGAGAATCGCTTGAATCCGGGAGACGGAGGTTGCAGTGAGCTGAGATTGGCCACTGCACTCCAGCCTGGGTGACAGAGCAACACCCTGTCTCAAAAAACAAAATAAATAAATTAATAAATAAAAATTAAAGAAAGATATTTAGCTGTAACTCCACCACATAGCAAAAGAGTTATGATCTTTTAATGCCTTGATCAATGAACATGCTCTTTGATGATTCTATTAAGGGAAAAGGTGATAAAACAAGAGTAATTTTGAAAAAAAGATCACCTCTATTTCCACTAAACTGATGTATTTCTAGTGCTTGTCCACCTGCAAATGTGCCTTTATATGGCTGTAATAATATGTGCCTATCCTTATATTTTTTACATTTACTGTAATGAAGACATATTTTCAGCTATTCCATAGTTTTGATCTTCTGCAGGAATTTCAAAATGCAGTTACCCTATTCAGTGTATCTTCCTCCCTATCATTCTAAAGCAGTTTAATCTAATTAAATATTTATTTGTACATTTTCACTTTTTACTATGAAAAATTTTAAACACACAGAAAAGTTGAAAGAAGAGGATAATGAACATATACATACTAACCACCTAGATTCAGCAATGAATAACCTTTTGCCAGGTTTTACATGTATACACATGCATAGTTTTTTCTCAATCATTGGCAATTAAACAGCAGACATCATGATATTTCACTCCTAAATACTTTAGCACCTAACAATAAAACTGTTTTCCTGAATAACCACAATACTATTGTCATAACTTAAAACAACAAATAATAATTCCCAAATATCACCTAACATCCAGTTCATATTCACATTTCCTCAGTTGTTTCCAAAATGATCTTGGTTCTTTTTTTTTGAGATGGAGTTTCACTCTTGTCGCCTGCCCAGGCTGGAGTGCAATGGTGTGATCTCTGCTCAGTGCAACATCTGCCTCGTGGGTTCAAGCAATTCTCCAGCATCAGTCTCCTGAGTAGCTGGGATTACAGGCACCCCCCACCAGGCCAGTCTAATTTTTGTACTTTTAGTAGAGACAGAGTTTCACCATGTTGGCCAGGCTGGTCTGGAACTCCTGACCTCAGGCGATCTGCCCACCTCAGACTCCCAGAGTGTTGGGATTATGGGCGTGAACCACTGTGCCCGGCCCCCAAAATGATTTATACAGTTGGCACCCTTGGAGCAAGGATCCAATTAAGGTTCATGCATTACATTCAGTTGTCTCTTCAATCTCTTTTAAGAGAAAACAGTTCCCTGACTTTTTTTTCCCCCTATAACATTGACTTTTGTAGAGAGCAGGACAATTGTCCTTTTTTCATAGCCTGGGTTTGTCTGATTGTTTCGTCATGGTATCATTTAAGCTATTTATTGTACACTGTAGACTAAGTATAAAAGTGAAAGAGATTGAGGTTAAACCTAAAATAATAAAAATATTTTACCATTCACTCCTATCAACTTTGACTCATTAATATTCTTCTAAGATATCTAAAATTAAAACATGTTACAGGTGGCATAGTAGACAAGATCTGCTTTCAAATCAGAGGTTTTACAGCTAGAGATCCTGGGAAAATGATTTAATTTCTTTGAGCCTCAGTCTCCGCATATGTGAAAAAGGTATGGTTGGTGCTCATAAATGTTTGCTCTCTTCCCCTAGTCTGTAGCTTCTCATGGATCGTGCAAAGCACCACCAGGACAGACATCTCAAGCACATTTGAAGAGCTCCTGTTTCCTAAGTAAGACAGCAGCAGCAAGACTGCAATCATTTCTGGGAAGGCAGTATCATCATAATGCAATATTAGCTACTGTGATCTTCTATCATTTCCTTCCTGGAGAGTTATGACTGTGGCATTGAAGATTTAAGACCTACAGCCTCAACACTACTTACTACAAATCTCTCACAAAGCTGCTGCAATAAATCTCGTGGAGGAAAGTCATTGCATAAAAAAATCCTCAACTCCAGGGAGTTGGCCATTTATTTTCCTAGAAAAGGGGCTGTGATGAGAGACACTCCATGCTCCTTTAACTCCATGGAACAGAACCCAACAAAACATTCATCATGGAAAGTTGACTGATGGGCCCAGTGAGACTAGCTGGGGAAGGAAGATGGAAAGAGAAGTGCCCCATCCAAGGCCTGCTCCTTTTCCTAGCTGCAGCCCGGAGGGATTTCCTCTTAGCTTGAGGATTGACTTTCCATAGAATCAGCACCACTGAGGGTAAGCTTCCCTGAAGACAAACTCTGTCATTGGAGAGCTCAGCCAGGGGTCTAAAACTGGACCCTATGGACTCCACAGATTTATTTAGTCTGCACAGTGTTTAAAAATGTTTTTAGTTAGGGCCAGGCATGGTGGCTCCCACCTGTAATCCCAGCACTTTGAGAGGCCGAGGTGGGTGGATCACCTAAGGTCAGGAGTTTGAGACCAGCCTGCCTGACATGGCAAAACCCAGTCTCTACTAAAAATACAAAAATTAGCTGGGCATGGTTGCTCAGGCCTGTAATCTCAGATACTTGGGAGGCTGAGGCACAAGAATCACTTGAACCTGGGAGGCGGAGGTTGCAGTGAGCCAAGATCGCACCATTGCACTCCAGCTTGGGTGACAAGAGTGAAACTCCATCTCAAAAAAAAAAAAAAAAGTTTCTAGTTAGTTCCCAACATAAAAAATTAACAATTTTGCAAAGAAAGATAAAATCCAGATTTTGGGCTCCCCTAAACAAATTGGGATATCTGAAAACAGTGGGCCACATTCCTACATTCCTGCCCCTGTTGACAGTATGCGCCTGCTCTAATTTTACTTCCCCTTTTACCCTAACTGCCCTGTAGGGAATGGAGTTTGCAATCCCCATACTAATCCATCACCCTGCAGGTCCATTCCCCTCCTCCCTGACCTCTGTTCTGATAAGGGGTGAGAGAATGAACCCCCATATGTATTGAATGGAAAATACATGTATTGGCCAGGCACAGCGGCTCACACTTGTAATCCCAGCACTTTGGGAGGCCAAGATGGGCAGATCACCTGAGGTCAGGAGTTCAAGACCAGCCTGGCCAATATGGCGAAACCGTGTTTCTACTAAAAATAATTTAAAAACAAAATTAGCCAGACATGATGGCAGGCGCCTATAATCCCAACTACTCAGGAGGCTGGGGCAGGAGAATCGTTTGAACCCAGGAGGCGGAGGCTGCAGTGAGCCAAGATCGCACCATGGCACACCAGCCTGGGCAACAAGACTGAAACTCCATCTCAAAAAAAATAAAAATAAAAATACATGTATTGATGAGAAAATACAACTGACTAATCCCACCTAAACCATGACCTCATATAAATTCAGAAGATCTTTCTAACATGGCAGGGAGGCAGCCTAGTATAAAGCAAAGAGCACATGCTTTGCGAATGTAAACCAAAAATAAAAGTTGAAGGCCCTCCTCACCATATGAATGGTCTCCTTCCTTTGCCAGGGCACCCTAAAATTTAACTGGTTGAGGCCATGATGGGTAGTAGGGGTTGGACATGCCTCATTATACCCTTCCAGCAGTAACATCAACACAGACTTTAAGTCTGATAAGAAACATTTACAGTCTATTTTCTCTAAAGCCTGCTACTTGGAGATATAAAACCTAGGTCTCCACAACCCCTATTGTAACCCAGCCATTTCTTTCTAATGATAATAAGTCTTTCAACCAATTGCCAATCAGAATATGTTTAAATCTTCCTATGACCTAGAAGCACCCCACTCTTTGAGTTGTCCCACCCTTCCAGATTGAACCAATGTAAATGGTTCAATTGATTGATGTGTTATATCTCCCTAAAGTGTATAAAAGGAAGCTGTACCTCAACCATCTTGGGCACGCGTCTTCAGGAACTCCTGAGTCTGTGTCACAGGTGTGTCCTTAACCTTGGCAAAGTAAACTTTCCATTACTTATAATGGCAAAAACTGCAATTACTTTTGCACCAACCTAATAAATGGATTGAGACTTGCCTCAGATACTTATTGGTTTATACCTAGAGGCAGACCTTGGCTCAAATCCCATCTCTCCCTTACTCTGGGATATTGTCCAACTTGCTCAGCCTCTTGAAACCTACTTTGCTTACAGCAAAATGGGTATAAGGGGATCTTTCACCCAAGCCTTTTGTGAGGACTAAATGTGGTAATGGACATTAAGTGCCAGACCCCTTGAATGTGCCATCTTCTCTCAGCTTCTATAATGTCATGCTGTCAGTTCCCTCCTTTTCTTTTTTTCTTTTCTTTTCTTTTTTTTTTTTTTTTTTGAGACGGAGTCTTGCTCTGTCCCCCAGGCTGGAGTGCAGTGGCACGATCTCGGCTCACTGCAAGCTCCGCCTCCCGGGTTCACGCCATTCTCCTGCCTCAGCCTTCCGAGTAGCTGGGACTACAGGCGTCCGTCACCGCGCCTGGCTAATTGTTTTTGTATTTTTCTTAGAGACTGGGTTTCACAGTGGTCTCGATCTCCTGACCTCGTGGTCCGCCCGCCTCGGCCTCCCAAAGTGCTGGGATTACAGGTGTGAGCCACCGCGCCCAGCCTAGTTCCCTCCTTTTCATGGCTTCTTTGCTTCATCTTTTCTGTCTCCTTTGAAGGTATGCCTTCCTGGAATATACCATAAATGTCAGTGTTCCTCAGGATTCTATCTTGACCTGACTCCCCCGACCCAACTGCTAGCTTTTCCCTCTGTCTAATGCTGGTACAGATACATAAACTGATAGGTAGATTACAACACAATTCGATTTTCTGTTTTGCTTTTTTTTTTGGCTTATTATTACATAAACTTTTTTTCATTGCTGCCATACATTCTTCAAAATAAACACTTCGGGGGGCGAGCTGGCCCAGCACTTTGGGAGGCCAAGGAGGTGGATCACTTCAGGTCAGGAGTTCGAGACCAGCCTGACCAACATGGTGAAACCCCCATCTCTACTAAAAATACAAAAATTAGCCGGGTGTTGGTGCAAGCACCTGTAATCTCAACTGCTCGGGAGGCTGAGGCATGAAAATCACTTGAACCCGCGAGGCAGAGGTTGCAGTGAGCCAATATAGTACCACTGTACTCCAGCCTGGGCAACAGAGCTGCGAGACCTTGTCTCAAACAAAACAAAACAAAACAAAATAAACACTTCATGGCTGAACAATATGCCATTTCCTGAATAGATTGTAATTTACCTAATCATTTCTCTAATAGTGGACACTTAGGTTGTTCTAATTTTGAAAGGCAGGAATACCAAGAATGTTTTCTTGCACATGGCAGATTATTTCTCAGTATAGGCTCATCCTTTCGAGTATATGGCATCTTTTCTTCTTTCCCTCCTCTCTCTCCTCAGAAGTACTCAAGGCCCCGGAGATACTTTGGCTGTATCCCCACCAATCTCATCTTGAATTGTAGCTCCCATGATTCCCATGTATCCTGAGAGGGACCCAGTGGGAGGTAATTGAATCATGGGGGCAGGTCTTTCCCGTGCTGTTCTAGAGATAGTGAATGAGTCTCACAAGATCTGATGGTTTTATAAAGGGCGGTTCCCCTACACAAGTTCTCTCTTGCCTGCCACTTTGCTCCTCATTTGCTCTCTGCCATGACTGTGAGCCCTCCCCAGCCATATGCAACTGTGAGTCAATTAAACCTCTTTTCTTAATAAATTACCCAGTCTCTGGTATGTCTGTATTAGCAGTGTGAGACAGACTAATACAGCCCTTATGTGTCCAGAAGTACTGACTTTCTTGGATGATACCTTAAGTAAAGCCTAATAAAGCTTTAGTGACTGATACATTTTTAAAAATGAAGTAATTATTTATGTGTAATGAGACAAATTATTTATTTCAGAGTGTTATTTGCCTTACTCTCTTCCCCCAGCAAAAGGAGTCCTCAAGTGGCCAGCCACATTTTCTCATTTCTC
The DNA here is from genome assembly GCF_000001405.40 of Homo sapiens. Taxonomy (NCBI): domain Eukaryota; kingdom Metazoa; phylum Chordata; class Mammalia; order Primates; family Hominidae; genus Homo; species Homo sapiens. The sequence continues at coordinate 105,195,118 of NC_000009.12, read as the reverse complement.
CTTTCTTCAAAAACTGATGGGATCTTGCTTGATGAAGTCACATAACAAGTGAATACAGCAAAGAGAGAGGGAAGGGGGAGGAAATAGCCGTTGGGAATGGAGTGTTGTTGGATGAGCTTTGTGAAGTGTGGGAAGAGAAAGATACTAGAGGAGACCGAGACAAATGGATAGGTGAAGAAACAGAATTTTAGTAAGTGGTGCTGTATGCTATATATGTGGATTTGCCTCAAAGTTTTAAAAAATGGCAAGCAGAAATGGAATTCTTTTTTAATAATCACCTTTGGTTATTGTATAATGTTATTTGATTATAATATAGTTTTGAGATTGATCGACATAGATCTTTGAATTAATAAAAATCACAATATATTTATGTCTGCCTTCTTCTCCAAAGGATTTGTGGCAGCTTCCAAAAATATACAGTATACTACAGTAAAAAATTAAGTAGGGAAATCTGAGCAAACAGAAAAAAACAAAGGGTAGCCAGATTACAATAAAGTAGCAAAGAGTAGCAAATTATAGTAAAGCCAGAGATAAGGTCAGCATACAAAATTTTGAGGTCCTACGCATTGTTAAAGATGGGCCACCAACTTAAAATTGAGCTTCCTAAAATGAATGCAAAGAGGTCTTATTCACAGTGTACGTAAAATAAAGTCAAATTCCTAGAACTGAGAATGAAGAGAAACTTCTCTTGCGTAATCCTCCAGAAAATACTTTGTGACAGCCTTTGACAACATGTCTATAAAAGGCTCCCAAACAAAATTTTTTTATGGTCTCTTAAAAATGATCTCCCTCCCTGTAGGTTAATGTCAAAACACCAGCCACAACAAGCAAAAGCCAAATCAATTTTCTCCGATGGTTTGACTTGATCCAAAGATAACATTTTGATGGCTCAGAGGAATGGTTGAACTACACATCCTTTAGGTAATTCTTCAAAAATATTATTTTCTGCAACTGGAACTTGGATAAAGATTAGATACTTGAAAGTTTAGTGTTTTCTCTGGTGTCAACCTGCAAGAGAAAGGTTGTGTTGTCAATAAAGGAAACAGTCAAATGCTTTGACAAGCTACTTGTCAAAAAGGTCCTAAATAAGCCATTTGGAACCAAGGAGCAACAATTTAATGTACAAATTTTCTCAAGGTGGATTTAAAAAAATGAATGCCTAGGATCTGTGACACCTAGGTGATATCTAGGTGGGGCAATATCTCTGAAAGTAGGAATAGTCATTTCGCTGTCCTGGTACAGAGTCAGAGAAAACAGCATCTAGAATAAGAAAGAGATAAGTCCCATCCATTTGAGAGAATATGTTAATTTGGAAGTAAAGGAGGAAGTGTTGGATTCAGTTAATGTATTTTAAGTGCCTGCCATGTGTTAGGCATATGGACTAGACGGTGCCATTGGTCCAGGATAGCTTGGCTGCTGAATAGAAATATACTGATAAAAGTGAGAAAGACAAAGTTGGGTTTGCTAGGGACGTGGGGGGCAACCATAACCACAGGTAAGGCTGCCAAAAGGGAAGCAGTGGGTAAACAGCTATGTGTGACAATTTGGCCCTTGGTAATTGAGTGGGTGGCTAGGGTTATCCTGAGACTGCACTACCCCCTATGGAGTAATGTCCCACCCCGGGGTCACCAGGGTAAATTAATGAAGACAAACAACAACTTTACACTAAGTATTTTGGAGAAGTTTATTGTCCATGTGAAGCCAGCTGGTGGCACAGAAGTAGGCGATGAAAAGTCTCAAGGTCAACTCAAAGTAATAAGCCGTTCCCCACATAGTTTTTATAGGTTAATTCCTTTTTCCTCACTGTAATATCTTCTTCACTCTCCACCAGATTTAGCATCCCTTTCCTGTTGTAGGTTAACAACCGTATCCTTTAAGTGGGACTATTACCAAAAGAAGCAGAAATAGGAGCATTTGCTATTTCTCTTGGAGAGCCCATTCACACATTCCTCTTCTTGCAACTGCTTGGTATCTTGAATCCCAAAGAGCCGTAGCAGTATCTGGCCTCTTCTGACATCTTAGAACCAAGCATACTATTTAAATGCACGTGAGTCTTTGCTACATTCAAGCAACTGAGCCACATAAATCTTAAATATCAAATAAAAAAGAAGGCTTTCTAACTGGTTAACGAAACTGGTTGTAAAAAATGTCTCCAACCGAGAGAGAACACAGACCTGCCTTTAGCTGCCTCTGTTCTTTAAAAGTGAAAATGCAGCATGTTAGAGAAAGTAAGAGAGTGGCAGCCTTCAAATTCTGTCTTGTAGACTGGAATAGTAAAACGAACCCCAATTCTGCTCAGGTGTCTTCCTTTAAGCCTAAGTGAAGACTGTAAGTCTATTGTAACAGCAACGGGGCCAGGCTCAGTGGCTCATGCCTGTAATCCCAGCACTTTGGGAAGCCAAGGTGGGCAGATCACTTGAGGTCAGGAGTTTGAGACCAGCCTGGCCAACATGGTGAACCCTGTCTCTACTAAAAATACAAAAATTAGCTGTGCATGGTGGCATGCACCTGTAGTCCCAGCTACTCGGGAGGCTGAGGCAGGAGAATCACTTGAACCCGGGAGGTAGAGGTGCAGTGGGCCAAGATCGCACCACTGCACTCCAGGCTCGGTGACAGAATGAGACTCCTGTCTCAAAGTAAAAAGAAAAAAATGGGAAGCAAAGGGAGGATTTTGGCTGCTTTTGCATTTTGAAGCCCTGAGAGATTCGTTTTCTTTCAGGGTACCTTGGAAAAGAGAATAGTTTAAGAGCAGCCTCAAGGGAGTCCAGACAACAGAAGAAAAGTTAAAGAGTCAGGAGAGTTTTGTTTTTTTTGTTTTTTGTTTTTTTTTTTGGAGACTTAGACAAATTTCAGTGTGCTGATGAATCCAACACAGTCCCAACTATCCTGTCATAGGAAATGAAATTTTGATCTGAAGTCAGGTTTCAGAAACACTCAGGAAAGTCTGTAAACCTAGCAAAACCCCAATTCAGCTGCTTTCTCACGCTCTTCAAAAGTACTCTGAATCCTGTCCTTTTCTTTTCCTTGACTGAAGTGGCTGTAGCACTAAAGAGTTGGCTAGCCAAGGTCATGGCTCTGGTGTAAAATGACCTAGTTTCCCAGATCACTCCTCCTGGGCAGCTAGACCCACTGTTGTCTCCTGTTTGATTGTGAAAGCATTGAACTTTCGACTTACAAAACCGCAAACTGAAAAATGGGTGTCGTTTTAAGTCACGAAATTTGTGGTAATTTTTATGTAGCAATAGAGAACAAATACAAACACCTTCCTCTTTCATTCCTCAGAAAAAAAGTTGAGAAGACCCATTACTCAGCTGTATGCACAAGGAAAAAGGGCATTCCTAGAATATGGGTGTGGATCTCTATAAAACAGGCATTTGTGAGTACAACTCCCTTTTTGAGAAAGGATCTGGGTGTCTGAATCCTCACTAATGAAACCGTGGAAATACTGATTCCAACCTAATAGAGGAGTCTCTCCTCTTTAGAGTATAGCAGATCCAACTCAACGGTTGCAGCACATTTAAAGTCCGCTAAAATGTGCAGCGAGTATTGCACACAGTAACACAACGGGACTAATAAAAGGATAAGAAAACAGAGTCTAGGCGCAGTAGCTCACGCCTGTAACCTCAGTGCTTTGGGAGGCCAAGGCGGGAGGATCACCTGAGGTCAGGGGCTCGAGACCAGCCTGACCAAGATGGTGAAACCCCGTCTCTACTAAATACAAAAAATTAGCCCAGTGTGGTGGCTCATGCCTGTAATCTCAGCTACTTGGAAGGCTGAGGCACCAGAATTGCTTGAATCTGGCAGGCAGAGGTTGCAGTGAGCTGAGACGACACCATTGCACTCCAGCCTGGGCGACAGAGTGAGACTCCATCTTTGTTGTTGTTGTTTTTTCTTTTTTTTTTTTTGAGACGGAGTCTCGCTCTGTCGCCCAGGCTGGAGTGCAGTGGTACGATCTCAGCTCACTGCAAGCTCCGCCTCCCGGGTTCATGCCATTCTCCTGCCTCAGTCTCCCCGTAGCTGGGACTACAGGCGCCCACTACCACGCCCAGCAAATTTTTTGTATTTTTAGTAGAGACGGGGTTTCACAGTGTTAGCCAGGATGGTCTCGATCTCCTGACCTTGTGATCCGCCCGCCTCGGCCTCCCAAAGTGCTGGGATTACAGGTGTGAGCCACCGCGCCCGGCCTGAGACTCCATCTTTAAAAAAAAAAAAAAGGGAAACGGGACTGCTGGGGGCAGGAGGTGGCCAAGGTGGTCGACTAGAAGCAGGTAGTGTGCGTAGCTCTCACAGAGAGGAATCAAAGGGGTGAGTAAATACAGTACCTTCATTGAAACATCCAGGTACATGCATTGGGACTAATCAAGGAAACAACTTGACCCATGGAGAATGGAGAATAGCAGGGCAGGACAGTAGCTCACTCAGGAGTGCCACAGAGCCAGGGGAGCCTCCCCCTGCCCAGGGAAGTGGTGAGAGCATATGTGACCCTGGGAACCCACCCTGTTCCCAAAGATCTTTGTAATCCTTGTGTCAGGAGATCCCCTCGTGAACCCACTCCACCAGGGCCTTCAGTCTGACACACAGAGCTACATGGAGCCTTGGCAGAGCAGCTGCTCAGGTACATGCAGAGACCCAGGAGCCTTAGATACCTGGGCTTTCTGGGCTTCCTGACAAAAGTAGCTGCAATTCCAGCAAAGTGGGAGGTTAGACCCCCCTAGGAAAGGGGCTGAATCCAGGGGGCCGAGCAGTGACATTCTGCAGGTTCCACTTCCATGACACCTCACAGGATAAGACCCACTGGCTTGGAATTCCAGCCAGCCACCAATAGCAGTGCTGCACTTCCCTGGGACAGAACTTACAGGGGAAGGGACAG